>NC_000020.11:4611789-4763304 GCF_000001405.40 Homo sapiens
CCTGCCATTTCATGTTAGGTAAGAGTTAGCTTTTATGAATTCAATCTGAGCTCCAGCTCATGGAAAGTTACTTGACATCGCTATGTGAGTTAGGAAAACAGGCTCTAAAACCAAAGGCCCTTGCAGTGATGGAAATAAGCGGTACCCACGCCTGACATAGCCAAATGGAGGTGGGATGGAGGGGAAGAAAGACATTTGAGCCACTGAGAGGCGGAAGGGAAGGACCAGTGAGGTGTGTGAACTGGGTGGGGGTGGGGAGGGAAAGGTGACCCAAGGGAAAGAGAGGCCTTGAGTCTAGGTGAGCAGGAGGAGAGTGATGCTGGCTAGGAAAGCAGGGTCTTGGGGCAAGGCAGGAGAGAGGAGGTGAGGGGCTATCTTCGGACCTACAAGGCTCACGAAGGAAGAGGTGATCATCAGAAAGCTGTAAATATGGGGATGCGTTTGGAGCTCAAGCAATAAATGGAGGCTGAAGGTTGAGCTTTGAGGGGAGGTCATTCAGGCAGCAGTGCAAAGCTCCAAGATCCATGAGATTTCCAAAGGGAAGAGGACTGCAAGTGGAGAGAAGAGGGGAGGGGAGTAGAGGGAGGAAAAGAGGAGAAGAAACTGGACAGGAGGAGTGGGGAGAGGAAAGGAGGCCAAACAGCCTCCAGGGTGGTAATGAACACCACAGCTATGGTGTCATACCTGAGTTTGAGCCCCGCTCTGTCACTAACTAGCTGTGTGACCTTGGGTAGATTGCTGAATCTCTCTGAGCCTTAATTTCTTAATCTGTAAATTGGGCATAATGATAGAAACTCCCATACAGGGCAATGATGAGAATTAAATAAGATTGTGTGTGTAAAGCCCTGATTTCAATGCCTGGCACCAGGGCAGAGCCCAGGGAATGGCAGCTAGGGTCATTAGGATTCTTATGAAATCCAAGTTAAATGAACAGAAGAAGGAAGAGGGGTTAGAGAAAAGGCAACAGAGTGGAGCTGCTTTTAAAGAGCCAGGAGAGCATGGTGGAGTGGGAGGAAAGGCAGGGAGATGTTTAGGAAAGCAGGAGAGGCCAGCAGGTGCCTGGCACCAATCAGTACAGAGGCTAGAACTTAGTGCTTTGGGTTTGGCAACTAACATGTCTCTCGTAACTTTTGAAAAAGCAGTGTGATTTTCAAAAATAAAGAGTAAGTGGGGCCAGGCGTGGTGGCTCATGCCTGTAATCCCAGCACTTTGGGAGGCCGAGGTGGGTGGATTACTTGAGGTCAGGAGTTTAGGAGTTCGAGACCAGCCTGGCCAACAGGGTGAAACCCCGTCTCTTTAAAAATACAAAAATTAGCCGATCGTGGTGGCGGGTGCCTGTAGTCCCAGCTACTCGGAGGCCGAGGCAGGAAAATCACTTGAACCCGGGAGGCGGAGGTTGCAGTGAGCCAAGATCACGCCACTGTACTCCAGCCTGGGTGACAGAGCGAGACTCCGGCTAACAAAAATAAATAAATAAATAAATAAATAAATAAATAAATAAATAAATAAATAATAAGTGGGAAAGACCATTGGAAGGTACGTTAGGGTGTCTTCTGGGGAAGGGCTGGGAGTAGGCAAGTTTGAATGCCAGGCCAGAGAGTCTGGATTTTATATTTAGACAATTATGTAACTTTAGAGGTATTTGAGTGGGTGTCAGCCTGGTGCTAGTTTGGGATGATGTATCTGGGTGGGGCAGAGGGAGAGAAGGACCCACGCATCACACCTGCCCAGGTCAAAATTAGAATGTGATTGACAAGGACCTAAAATTCCCATGTTGAGATTTTAACCACTCGATTTCTCCAGGGATTCAGCGATTCAGGTTGACTGAAGTTTAACAGCAAAGCAAGCACTAGGCAGAACAGTATCATGCAAAGCCCCTAACTCTGGCATGGGGAGGGATGGGGGACAGATAAAGGAGAGAGGTTGGGAGGGAGATATTGCAGGATGGAGCCAGGCCCAGGCAAGGTGGAAGTTGCAGCTGCTCAGATTTTTTACGATTGCTCATACCGTTCACCCGCAGCTCCCAAATCCGGAAGACTCTTCAGGGACATATAAATAGTAACTGTTATTTGAGAACCCGCAGAGCCTCACCTGTTCTAGCAACTGCCGGAGGCTTATTTCACTTAGCATAATGTCCTCTAGCCACAGTGCAACCTGTAAATATATACAGCTATTATTTGTCAATTAAAAACCACCACCACCACCACCACTGGGGGGCACTTGCTGAGTGTTTTATCTCAGAAGGTGACCTCGCTCTCCCCAGGTCTTGTCATGATACCGTAACTAATCACACAACGACAATGAGAGCCAAAAAGGATGATATAGAGGACACACACATGACCAGTCCACTTCCTTAAAAGTACCTGGGGTCTTGTGATCCGGCCACCTGGACAGAGAACACAACAGTCAGGGGCTTGTTGAGAAACAATTGTGGTTTTGCTTAATTATGACCGAGGAACTGAAGCCAGTCTTCTATTTATGATTGGCAAGGTGGTCTCAATGCATCTGTCCTGCTTAAGAAAGTAACCCCCGCTTTCCAAATCTTTCCAACTTCTTCAAATTCAAAAGTCTGAGGGAGGCTCAGACTGCGTGGGGGTGGGGGTGTTGTTCAAGATGTGGCTTGTGGGATTAATTTTTGGCAGGAAGATCACAGTGTTGAATACAATGAAACTCTGTCCTGAGAACAGGCCTCTCAGGGAGCCGTTGCTGCTCTCGGACTGGCAGGGCCTGAGGAATTCATTACAGGGGATGAAAGATCTACTCAGAGCCAAGATTTATTCCTGCCTGGAGACCCTGGAGTCACTGCATTTCCAAAAAAAAAGGGCTCATTTCATTAGACTCCAAGAAAGTGGATTTTGGGCTTCTAAGAGAAGGAACTATCGTGTTCTTTTAAAATTTTTGTTTGGATCATTGCAGACTAACTAGATGTTTTCCATTTGAAACGACCCCCTTTGTATGTCTCTGCCACAGGACCACAGGGTAACAGATGTGATTTCCGTGAAATGCACCTACCATGGGTCCTGGAACACAGTAGGTGCTCATTAAATACTTTCTTCCATCTGCCCCAGGTGGTCCTAAAATTTTCTGAGTCAGATCCAAGTTCTGTGTAAATGCTTACATCAAAGTGGGGTCTGTGGTCTTGAATTCCTCCCTCCAAGTTAGAACCCAAAAAGTGCCCTGATTCTGTAGCAACTTTAAGAATCTCTGTGATTTATTTGAGTGAATCTTTTAACTGAAATAGTAATAAATTGTGACAGGCCTTCACCTGTTAGCAGAGAGTGACCCTGAAATGCCACCTAGCTTTCAGGAGAAACAGTTTCTAAAGTGAGGATTCAAAGCAAAAATACTTGTGGAAAAAAATGTAACGGATGAAATACATGTACATTCTCCTGTTTTTGATGGTGGTTAGGGGACACATTTTTCCTGCCCTACTTCTTCATTTGAAGTTACTTTCCAAAGTAACTTTCATAACTTAATTACATCTTCAGTGACCCTGTTTCCAAATAAGGTCACATTTGGAGGTACTACAGTTAGGACCTCATGGTTTCTTTGTGGAAGCCAAAATCAGTCCATGTAAATCAGCTTTAATAAATGAGATAGCTGCCTTATGCCACAACCCCACACTGAGCAATGTCATTTGGGTAAATATTTCATCCCAACCATTTGTAATGTAAGGGTTGCTGTTTGCCCAGCCAACAGAAGGGAGTATCTGACCTTAGTCCATCATTGTTACGGGGAGATGCTTGTTGCCATGTGGCCCACTCAAGGGCAGGCAGTTGAAACCAAGCATCCAGGTGCTTCCAGACCAGTCTCTACACCTCCTAGACTTTGCTCTCAGTTCTCTGTCCCATTATGGGAATGTGTGCCTAGAAAACGGGTTGTCCTGACTTTGAGTTTGTGATGCATCTTGTATGTCTGTTTGTCTCTCCCATGTTTAAGCATACCAGGTCACTAGTTCCCAATTGTACTAATTTCCTAAAGCTACTGTAACAAAGTACCACAAACTATTTTGTTGCTTAAAACAACATAGAGTTACTCCCTTACAGCTCTGGAGGCTAGAAGTCTGAAATCAAGGTGCCGGCAGGGTTGATCTTTCTCAGGACTCTGGGAGAATTTGCTCCACACTTCTGGTAACAACCAGCAATCCTTGGAGTTCCTTGGCTTACAGATACACCATTCCAATTTCGGCCTTGCAGGGGCCTAGGGAAAATGTCCCCTTTGCCCTCTGAAGGTTCACTGAAAATCAACTGACAGAAGGCAGATTCATTAGGAGAAAAGACAAACAAACTTATTTGGTCATAGTTTGTATCACCCAGGAGCCTTCAAAATGAAGACCCAAAGATATAGGGAAACTGGCCATTTTTATGCTTAGGTTCAACAAACTACGGGCAGCTATGTAGAAATATAAGGGGACAAAGAGGATAAGATCTAATGTTAATAGGCTGAGTGGGGAAACCCATGAAGGCTGTCTGTTAGATTCCTCTTGGCCTCTCTGTAGAGCGTTCCTTCTGTATTAGTCTGTTCTCACACTACTAATAAAGACATACCCAAGACTGTGTATTTTTGTAAAGGAAAGAGGTTTAATTGACTCAAAGTTCAGCAGGGCTGGGGAGGCCTCAGGAAACTTACAATCATTGTGGAAGAGGAAGCAAACATGTCCTTCTTCATGTGGCAGCAGCAAGGAGAAGTGCAGAGCGAAGGAGGGGAAAGCCCCTTCTAAAACGTTCAGATCTCATGAGAACTCACTCACTATCACAAGAACAGCATGGAGGTAACTGCCCCCATGATTAAATTACCTTCCACCAGGTCTCTCCATGATATATGGGGATTATGGGAACTACAATTCAAGATGAGATTTGGGTGGGGACACAGCCAAACCATAATACTTTCTTTCTGTGTGTGGGGCAGGACTATCTCTGGAACGGGGGCCTTATAAGCTCTTATCAGATGAGATAAGTCAAATAATTAATGTCTTTATGGCCAGTTTTTATACCAAATGGCAGAGAGGGAGAGGGAAAGTTAGACTATTTTTAGGTTTTATGGCTGGCTTGGGGGAAAGGGGGCTCTGGTTTCTATGGCCCACCTTGGGGAAGAGGCTGTTGCTGAGGCTTTCATTTTGGGGTGTCCAGTTCTCATTTCTACCAGCAATCTTACCACATGGCCATCTTCCCTCTGTGTCTGTGTCCAAATTGTTCTCTTTTTGGAAGAACACCAATCACATTGAACTAGGGGCCCACCCATCCTACTCCAGTGTGAACTCATTATAACTTAATTACATCTTCAATGACCCTATTTACAAATAACACTACATTTTGAGATACTAGATTTAGGACTTCAACACATCTTTTGTAATGGACACAATTCAATCTATAACACCAACCAGAGGTTTTCTTACTGTTTTCCTCTACATTTTGAAACATTTTGCTTACCAAGCAAAATACATTAGTGAATATTTGTTTTCCTGTTTTGTTTTTTTTTTAAATCAGTCACCCAAATGGGCTTTCTGTTCCAGAAGAAGATGGCACTGAGTCACTTTTCTCTGTTGTTACCCTCTAAATACAACTACATACCCCGCTAATTAGTCAATGGACCATGATACAAGGACTCTGAAAGCCGAGAGAAGGAAGGCAGACTGGCTGGGAGCTTCAAGACTTGAGAGGTCTGGTGAGTCCCCTAGGTTTCCTTTTTATCTCCCACGTACCTTCAGGCTGGGCACCCGATGGGCCTGCAACTTGGAACCACCAACAGGAATAGACAAAATAATCCAAGAGAAGCCTGCTTTGTCCAGCCAAACGAAAGGGAAAGCCCAGCAGAGCCTGAGTTGGGATCCTGAATCCTCCTTCCACAACCAGAGTCCCTGCAGCCCGTCTGATCCACCAGCTGGGCTGGCATCAGCCGAGCTCTGTGTCTCCCTGTTCTCTGTTGAGATTCCACAGTGTGCTTCCACCCCCAGAGAGCACCAGCAAAGGCTGAGTGTGAACCCCAGCAATACCAGGAGAACAAAGAGGAAAAACAAAACAAAACCAGAATAGAATTCAAAGGGCTCAGAAAACTAAACTGTCATTGATACAAATGCCCACAAAAGTCGACCAGATCCTATGAATCAAACCTAAACAAGGTGAAGCCTCATTGAAACAGAAGACTTAGGATCAAGAATCTCCAGCTGGGCATGGTGGCACATGCCTATAGTCCCGGGACTTTGTGAGGCCGAGGTGGGTGGATCACCTGAGGTCAGGAGTTCGAGACCAGCCTGGGCAACATGGTGAAACCCCGTCTCTACTAAAAATACAAAATTAGCCGAGCATGGTGGCACCTGCCTGTAGTCTCAGCTATCTGGGAGGTTGAGTCAGGAGAATTGCTTGAACCCGGGAGGCGGAGGTTGCAGTGAGCTGAGATTATGCCATTGCACTCAAGCCTGGGCAACAAGAGCAAAAAACCCTGTCTCAAAACATAAAAAAATTTAAAACAACAAAAAACAAAAAAGAGTCTCCTGACAGAAGAATCAAAATGTCCAGGATGCAGTAAAAAACTGCACCATATCCAGAACTCAGAATGTTTTTCCTACTCTCTACTCTCACACACTCCTCAACACAATGCTTCTGACACTAGATGTGTGAGGGTTTCTCCTCACACACAAAGCAAGCAATTCTCCACTGGACACCAGCTGGATGTCCCCTAATTTAATTCAATTCTGACACTTTCTACTTGGAGATAGCATCAGATCCCACAGGTTGGTAACTCTACCAGGTTCGTTGCCCGATGCACTGAGACACAGGGTTGCAGCAGAGAAAGAGGTTTAATCATAAGGCAGCCAAATGAGGGGGAGGAAACCTCAAATCCACCGCCCAGAGGAGTTTGGGGCCAGAGGTTTTTAGGGGTTTGGAGTGGGCTGAGGTCTGGGGAATCACTGATTGGTCGAAGGGTGCAGGGTAAAGCCAGGAGACAGGGAGATGAAGAAACTGTATTCTCAAGCTGATCTGGTTCCCTGTTGTGGGGGGTCTTCAAACTGGTGGGTGTCAGCCGTTGCTGCTGGAATTCAGGATCTGAAAAACATCTTAAGCAATTCATAAAAGCCTTATGATTCTAACATCAGAAGTTCCGTCTATAGGAACAATGGGGATGAAAATAGTCTAGTGCGCGACTTTCAGTTAGCAAGCAGCCCCAAGGGAGTGGGCCAGAGTGCAGCCTGACCAATGCTTACTTATAACTATATTTCTTTTTATTTGTTTATTTGTTTGTTTTTTAATTATACTTTAAATTCTAAGATACATGTGCAGAACGTGCAGGTTTGTTGTATATGTATACACGTGCCATGGTAGTTGGCTGCACTCATCAACCCACCATCTACATTAGGTATTTCTCCTGATGCTATCCTTCCCCTTGCCCCTCATCCCGACAGGCCGTGGTGTGTGATGTTCCCCTCCCCATTATCATGTGTTCTCATTGTTCAACTCCCACTTATAAGTGAGAACATGCAGTGTTTGCTTTTCTGTTCCTGTGTTAGTTTGTTGAGAATTATGATTTCCAGCTTCATCCATGTCCCTGCAAAGGACATGAACTCATCCATTTTCCATAGCTGCATAGTACTCCATGGTGTATATGTGCCACATTTTCTTTATCTAGTCTATCATTGATGGGCATTTGGGTTGGTTCCAAGTCTTTGCTATTGCGAACAGTGCCGCAGTAAACATATGTGTGCATGTGTCTTTATAGTAGAATGATTTATAATCCTTTGGATATGTACCCAGTAATGGGAGGGTATTTCAGGATCTACATCCTTGGGGAATTGCCACACTGTCTTCCACAATGGTTGAACTACTTTACACTCCCACCAACAATGTAAAAGCGTTCTTATTTCTCCACATCCTCTCCAGCCTCTGTTGTTTCCTGACTTTTTAATGATCACCATTCTAACTGGTGTGAGATGGCATCTCATTGTGGTTTTTGATTTGCATTACTTTAATGACCAGTGATGATGAGCTTTTTTTCATATGTTTGCTGGCCACATAAATGACTTCTTTCGAGAAGTGTCTGTTCATATCCTTTGCCCACTTTTTGATGGGGTTGTTTTTTTCTTGTAAATTTGTTTAAGTTCTTTGTAGATTCTGGATATTAGCCCTTTGTCAGAAGGAGAGATTGCAAAAATTTTCTCCTATTCTGTAGGTTGCCTTTTCACCCTGATGATAGTTTCTTTTGCTGTGCAGAAGCTCTTTAGTTTAATTAGATCCCATCTGTCAATTTTGACTTTTGTTGCCATTGCTTTTGGTGTTTTAGTCATGAAGTCTTTGCCCATGCCTATGTCCTGAATGGTATTGCCTAGGTTTTCTTCTAGGGTTTTTATGATTTTAGGTCTTACATTTAAGTCTTTAATCCATCTTGAGTTAATTTTTGTATAAGGTGTAAGGAAGGGGTCTAGTTCCAGTTTTCTGCATATGGCTAGCCAGTTTTCCCAACACCATTTATTAAATAGGGAATTCTTTCCCCATGGCTTGTTTTTGTCAGGTTTGTCAAAGATCAGATGCTTGTAGATGTGTGGCGTTATTTCTGAGGCCTCTGTTCTGTTCCGTTGGTCTATATCTCTGTTTTGGTACCAGTACCGTGCTTTTTTGGTTACTGTAACCTTGTAGTATAGTTTGAAGTCAGGTAGTGTGATGCCTCCAGCTTTGTCCTTTTTGCTTAGGATTGTCTTGGCTATACAGGCTCTTTCTTGGTTTCATATGAAATTTGAAGTAGTTTTTTCTAATTCTGTGAAGAAAGTCAATGGTAGCTTATAGCATTACTTTGGGCAGTATGGCCATTTTCACAATATTGATTCTTCCTATCTATGAGCATGGAATGTTTTTCCATTTGTTTGTGTCCTGTCTTATTTCCTTGTGCAGTGGTTTGTAGTTCTACTTGAAGAGGTCCTTCACATCCCTTGTAAGTTTTATTCCTAGGTATTTTATTCTTTTTGTAGCAATTCTGAATGGGAGTTCACTCATGATTTGGCTCTCTGTTTGTCTGTTATTGGTGTATAGGAATGCTTGTGACTTTTGCACATTGATTTTGTATCCTGAGACTTTGCTGAAGTTGCTTATCAGATTAAGGCGATTTTAGGCTGAGGTGATGGGGTTTTCTAAATATACAGTCATGTCATCTGCAAACAGAGACAATTTGACTTTCTCTTTTCCTATTTGAATACCCTTTCTTTCTTTCTTTCTCTTGCCTGATTGCCCTGGTGAGAACTTCCAATACATGTTGAATAGGAGTGGTGAGAGAGGGCATCCTTGTCTTGTGCTGGTTTTCAAAGGGAGTGCTTCCAGCTTTTGCCCATTCAGTATGATATTGGCTATGGGTTTGTCATAAATAGCTCTTATTATTTTGAGATATGCTCCATCAATATCTAGTTTATTGAGAGTTTTCAGCATGAAGGGGTGTTGAATTTTATCAAAGGCATTTTCTGCATCTATTGAGATACTCATGTGGTTTTTGTCTTTGGTTTTGTTTATGTGATGGATTACGTTTATTGATTTGCATATGTTGAACCAGCCTTGCATCCCAGGGATAAAGCCGACTTGATCATGGTGGATAAGCTTTTTGATGTGCTGCTGAATTCAGTTTGCCAGTATTTTATTGAGGATTTTCGCATTGATGTTCATCAGGGATATTGGCCTGAAATTTTCTTTTTTTGTTGTGTCTCTGCCAAGTTTTGGTATCAGGCTGATGCTGGCCTCATAAAATGAGTTAGGGAGGAGTCCCTCTTTTTCTATTGTTTGGAATAGTTTCAGAAGGAATGGTACCAGCTCTTCTTTCTACCTCTGGTAGAATTCGGCTGTGAATCTGTCTGGTCCTGGGCTTTTTTTTGGTTGGTAGGCTATTAATTACTGCCTCAATTTCAGAACTTGTTATTGGTCTATTCAGTGATTCAACTTCTTCCTGGTTTAGTCTTGGGAGGGTGTATGTGTCCAGGAATGTATCCATTTCTTCTAGATTTTCTAGTTTATTTGAGTGGAGGTGTTTATAGTATTCTCTGATGGTAGTTTGTATTTCTGTGGGATCGATGGTGATATCCCCTTTATCATGTTTTATTGTGTCTGTTTGATTCTTCTCTCTTCTTTATTAGTCTGGCTAGCAGTCTATTTTGTTAATTTTTTCAAAAAACCAGCTCCTGGATTCATTGATTTTTTGAAGGGTTTTTTTGTGTCTCTATCTCCTCCAGTTCTGCTCTGATCTTAGTTATTTCTTGCCTTCTGCTAGCTTTTGAATTTGTTTGCTCTTGCTTCTCTAGTTCTTTTAATTGTGATGTTAGGGTGTCAATTTAAGATCTTTCCTGCTTTCTCCTGTGGGCATTTGGTGCTATAAATTTCCCTCTAAATACTGCTTTAGCTGTGTCCCAGAGATTCTGGTACATTGCGTCTTTGTTCCCATTGGTTTCAAAAAACTTATTATTTCTCCCTTAATTTTGTTATTTACCCAGTAGCAATTCAGGAGCAGGTTGTTCCATTTCCATGTAGTTGCACAGTTTTGAGGGAGTTTCTTAATCCTGGGTTCTAATTTGATTGCATTGTGGGCTGAGACACTGTCTGTTATGATTTCTGTTCTTTTTTGTTTGCTGAGGAGTGTTTTACTTCCAATTATGTGGTCAATTCTAGAATAAGTGTGATGTGGTGCTGAGAAGAATGTATTGATTTGGGGTGGAGAGTTCTGTAGATTTCTATTAGGTCTGCTTGGTCCAGGGTTGAGTTCAAGTCCTGAATATCCTTGCTAATTTTCTGTCTTGTTGATTTGTCTAATATTGAAAGTGGCATGTTAAAGTCTCCCACTATTATTGTATGGGAGTCTAGGTTTCTTTGTAGGTTTCTAAGAACTTGCTTTATGAATCTGGGTGCTCCTATATTGGGTGCATATATATTTAGGATAGTTAGCTCTTCTTGTTGCTTTGATCCCTTTACCATTATGTAATGGCCTTCTCTGTCTTTTTCAATCTTTGCTAGTTTAAAGTCTGTTTTATCAGAGACTAGGATTGCAACCCCTGCTTTTTTTTATTTATTTTTATTTTTTATTTTTTGCTTTCTATTTGCTTGGTAAATATTCCTCCATCCTTTTAGTTTGAGCCTATGTGTGTCTTTGCATGTGAGATGGGTCTCCTGAATACAGCACACTGATGGTCTTGACTCTCTATCCAATTTGCCAGTCTGTGTCTTTTCATTAGGGCATTTAGTCCATTTACATTTAAGGTTAATATTGTTATGTGTGAATTTGATCCTGTCATTATGATGCTAGCTGGTTATTTTGCCCATTAGTTGATGCAGTTTCTTTCTTTTTTTTTTTTTTTTTTTGAGATGGAGGCTCACTCTGTCACCCAGGCTGGAGTGCAGTGGCGTGATCTCCGCTCACTGCAAGCTCTGCCTCCCGGGTTCAGGCCATTCTCCTGCCTCAGCCTCCCGAGTAGCTGGGACTACAGGCGCCTGCAACCACGCCCGGCTAAATTTTTTTTGTATTTTTAGTAGAGACGGGGTTTCACCATGTTAGACAGGATGATCTCAATCTCCTGACCTCGTGATCTGCCCACCTCAGCCTCCCAAAGTGCTGGGATTACAGGCGTGAGCCACCACGCCCGGCTGATGCAGTTTCTTCATAGTGTCAATGGTCTTTACAATTTAGTGTGTTTTTGTAAGGGCTGGTACCGGTTTTTCCTTTCCATACTTAGTGCTTCCTTCAGGAGCTCTTGTAAGGCAGGCCTGGTGGTGACAAAATCTCTCAGTATTTCTTGTCTGTAAAGGATTTTATTTCTCCTTTGCTTATGAAGCTTAGTTTGGTGGGATATGAAATTCTGGGTTGAAAATTGTTTTCTTTAAGAATGTTGAATATTGGCCCCCACTCTCTTCTGGCTTGTAGGGTTTCTGCAGAATGATCCACTGTTAGTCTGATGGGCTTCCCTTTGGGGTAACCTGACCTTTCTCTCTGGCTGCCCTTGACATTATTTCGTTTATTTCAACTTTGGTGAATCTGACGATTATGTGTCTTGGGGTTGCTCTTCTTGAGGATTATCTTTGTGGTGTTCTCTGTACTTCCTGAATTTGAATCTTGGCCTGTCTTGCTAGGTTGGGGAAATTCTCCTGGATAATATCCTGAAGAGTGTTTTCCAACTTGGTTCCATTCTCCCCATCACTTTCAGGCACACCAATCAAACGTAGGTTTGGTCTTTTGCACATAGTCCCATGTTTCTTGGAGGTTTTGTTCATTCCTTTTCATTCTTTTTTCTCTAATCTTGTCTTAACACTTTATTCCATTAAGTTGATCTTCAATCTCTGATATCCTTTCTTCTGCTTGATCAATTCAGCTATTGATACTTGTGTATGCTTCAAGAAGTTCTTGTGCTATGTTTTTCAGCTCCATCAGGTCATTTGTGTTCTTCTCCAAACTGATTACTCTAGTTAGCAATTCCTCTAGCCTTTTTTCAAGGTTCTTAGCTTCCTTGCATTGGGTTATAACATGCTCCTTTAACTCGGAGGAGTTTGTTATTACCCACCTTCTGAAGCCTACTTCTGTCAATTCGTCAAACTCTTTCTCTGTCCAGTTTTGTTCCCTTGCTGGCGAGGAGTTGTGATCCTTTGGAGGAGAAGAGGCATTCTGGTTTTTGGAATTTTCAGCCTTTTTGCGCTGGATTTTCCTCATCTTCATGGATTTATCTACCTTTGGTCTTTGATGTTGGTGACCTTCGGATGGGGTTTCTGTGTGGACATACTTTTTGTTGATATTGATGCTATTTCTTTCTGTTTGTTAGTTTTCCTTTTAACAGTCAGGCCCCTCTGCTGCAGGTCTGCTGGAGTTTGCTGGAGGTTCACTCCAGACCCTGTTTGCCTGGGTATCACCAGCAAAGGCTGCAGAACAGCAAAGATTGTTGCCTGTTCCTTCCTCTGGAAGCTTTGTCCCAGAGGGGCACTCACCAGATGCCAGCCGGAGCTCTCCTGTATGAGCTGTCTGTCAACCCCTGCTGGGTGGTGTCTCCCAGTCAGGAGGCACGGGGGTCAGGGACCCACTTGAGGAGGCAGTCTGTCCCTCAGCAGAGCTCAAGTGCCGTGCTGGGAGATCCGCTGCTGTCTTCAGAGCAGGCAGGCAGGAACATTTAAGTCTGCTGAAGCTGCACCCACAGCCGCTCCTTCCCCCAGGTGCTCTGCCCCAGGGAGATGGGAGTTTCGTCTATAAGCCCCTGACTGGGGCTGCTACCTTTCTTTCAGAGATGCCGTGCCCAGAGAGGAGGAATCTAGAAAAGCAGTCTGGCTACAGCAGCTTTGATGAGCTGCAGTGGGCTCTGCCCAGTTCGAACTTCCCAGTGGCTTTGTTTACACTGTGAGGGGAAAACCCCTACTCAAGCCTCAGTAATGGCAGACGCCCCTCCCCCCACTAAGCTCCAGCGTCCCAGGTCCACTTCAGACTGCTGTGCTGGCAGCGAGAATTTCAAGCCAGTGGATCTTAGCTTACTGGGCTCTGTGGGGGTGGGATCTGCTAATCTAGACCACTTGGCTCTCTAGCTTCAGCCCCCTTTCCAGGGGAGTGAATGGTTCTCTCTTGCTGGCATTCCAGGTGCCACTGGGGTATGAAAAAAAGCTCCTGCAGCTAGCTCGGTGTCTGCCCAAACAGCTGCCCAGTTTTGTCCTTGAAACCCAGGGCCCTGGTGGTGTAGGTACCTGAGGAATCTCCTGGTCTGCAGGTTGCGAAGACCATGGGAAAAGTGTAGTATCTGGGCTAGAGGGCACCATCCCTCACGGCACAGTCCTTCACGGCTTCCCTCGGCTAGGGGAGGGAGTTCCTTGACCCCTTGTGCTTCCTGGGTGAGGCGACACCCCAGCTTGCTTGGGCTCACTCCCCATGGGCTGCACCCATTGTCTAACCAGTCCCAGTGAGATGAGCCAGGTACCTCAGTTGGAAATGGAGAAATCACCCACCTGCGTTGATCTCGCTGGGAGCTGCAGACTGGAGCTGTTCCTTTTCGGCCATCTTGCCCACGACCCCAGAAACATTTTAATCATAACTATATTTCTATTCCAGAACCCAGCATGTAACTCTTGTTAGACCTGTGAGGACAGTTTCAGGCTGAGAGCCCAATCCCATAGGACTGCCCCCTGCATTTCACATGCCAGTCACAAGTATTAATAGTATGTTGTCACTTATACTTCTGACTAACTGGCTCTTAGTCACGGATTCCCATGATCTCCATCTGGAGTTTGATTAATTTGCTAGGGTGGCTCACAGAACTCAGGTAAACACTTTACTTATAGTTCCCCATTTATTATAAAGGATTTTACAAAGAATCCAGATGGACAGCCAGGTGGAAGGGGCTTGTAGCTTCCACGTCCTTTCCTGGCGTGCCACTCACCAGGAACCTCCACGTGTTCAGCTTCTGTAAGCTCTCCAAACCCTGTCCTTTTGAGTTTTTACAGAGGTTTCATAATGTAGCCATAATTAAATCATTGGCCACTGGTGATCATCTCAAACTTCAGGCCCTCTCCTGTCCCCCGAAGTGGAGGATGGGGCTGTGAGTGCCAACCCATTAATCACATGGTTGGGTCCCCTGGCAACCAGTCACCCATCCAGTGGTTATCTAGGGACTCTCCAAAAACCACCTCATTAACAAACTCAAGTGTGGTCAAAAGGGGATTGTTATAAATAACAAAAGACATGTTCACCTTACAACTCTGGAGCTATTCTAAAACTATTTCAGATCCGAGGACGAAAGGTCAAATATTTTAACAAAAGACAATCCTACTGCTCTAGTCACTCAGGAAATTACAAGAGTTATGAGCCAGGAACTGTGGACAAAATCAAAATATATATTCCATAATATTACGCCTTGAAACAAATGAAAACATAGAGAATCTCAGCAAAAAATAGAACCAAACAGCAATTATAGAACTTAGAAATACTACAATCAAAATAAAAACTCACTGGATGGGTTCAACAGTAGAGTAGAGATGACAGGAATAGAATCTGTGAACTTGAGGGTAAGTCAGTAGCATATACACAATCTGAACAATGAAGAGAAAATAGACTGAAAAAAAAGAACAGAGCCTCAGATATCTCTGAGACAATCACAAAAGATCCAACATTCATATCATTAAAGTCCAGAAAATAAGGGAGAAAGAACATGGAGAGATAAAGAATGCAAAGAAATAATGCTGAAAATTTCCTGTAGGCCAAGCACGGTGGCTCACGCCTATAATCCCAGCACGATGGGAGGCCAGGGCTGGCTGATCACTTAAGGCCGGGAGTTCAAGACCAGACTGAGCAACATGGCAAAACCTTATCTCTACAAAAAATACAAAAACTCGCCTGGCATGGTGGTGTGTGCATGTAGTCCCAGCTACTTGGGGGGGCTGAGGCAGAAGGATTGCTTGAAACTGGTAGGTCGAGGCTCCAGTGAGCCAAGATCAAACCACTGCGTTCCAGCCTGGGTGACAAAGTAAGACCCTGTCTCAAAAGACAAAAAAAAAAAAAACAAAAAAAAAAGAAAAAGAAAATTTTCAGCCGGGCACAGTGGCTCACGTCTGTAATCCCAGCACTTTGGGAGGCCGAGGGAGGTGGATCACCTGAGGTCAGGAGTTTGAGACCAGCCTGGCCAACATAGTGAAACCTGTCTCTACTGAAAATACATAAATTAGCCAGGCATGGTGGCATGTGCCTGCAGTCCCAGCTACTTGGGAGGCTGAGCCAGGAGAATCGCTTGAACCCAGGAGGCAGAGGTTGCAGTGAGCCGAGATCATACCACTGCACTCCAGCCTGGGCGACAGAGTGAGATTCCCTCTCAAAAAAAAAAAAAAAGAAAGAAAAAAAAGAAAAGAAAGAAAGAAGAAGAAAATTTTCCAAAGGTGTCAAAAAACATAAAATTGCAGATCCAAGCAGCTCAGCATACTTCAAATAAAATCCACCTAGCATAACCTACACCAAGACATATCATAATTAAATTTCTGAACACTGAAGACAAAGGTCACAGCTGGAGAGAAGCAAAACATGGCCTGTAAAGGAACCCCAATGTGAAGAACAGGTTCCTCATCAGAAACCGTGGAGTCCAGAAGGAAGTGACATATCTTCCAAATGCTGCAAGAAAGACCTCCCAATCATAAATCTTATATAGATGGTGAAACTATTCTTCAGGAATGTAAGGGGAAAAAAGACAGTCTCAGGCATAGAGAAACTAAGAGAAGTTGTTGATAGCAGACCTACCTTTAAAGAATTGCTAACAAAATCCCTCAAAACAGAAAGACAATGATAATAAAAGGCTGGGATTTTCAGCCTTTTATTATTCCATTTCAGTAAAAATAGAAGTAAATATTCAACATCCATTCATTAGTTTCTTTGATCGTATTTATGGTTGAAGCAAAAGTTATACATTTTCTGATATGTATGTAGAGGTTATACCTAGGACAATTATATTTTTGTAGGTGTGGAGGATAAAGGAATTAAAAGGAAGTAAGCTTTCTACCCTTCAATGGAAATGGTAAGACATTGACACCAGTAAGCTGTGATAATTTACATATGAATAGAATAGTAGCTAGAACGACCACTACAAAAACTATACAAAATGGTATACTAAAAATATATATAAATAAATCAAAGTGGAACTCTAAAAAACATTCAAGTAACCCACGAGAAGGCAGAAGGAAGATAACCAGGTAACAAGAAACAGGGAACAAATGGTAAACAAATTAAACTCTAACAGGTCAATAATCACTTTAAATGTAAACGGACTAAATACATTAATTAAGAGACAGGATTGCAATGGGTACAAAGTTATAATTAGAAAGGAAGAATAAGTTCTGATGTCCTATTGCACAGTAGAGTATCTCAAAATAGCTAGAAAAGAGGATTTTGTATGTGCCTGTAACAAATAAATAATAAATGAGGTGATAGATATGCTAATTACCCTGATTTGATCATCACACAATATATTTATGTATCAAAACATCACATTGTACTCCATAAATACATACAATTATTATGTGTAAAAAATTTTTAAATTAAAAATGAGACAAGATTAGCTGAGTAGATTTAAAAACATTACCCAATGTTATGCTGTCTATAAAAAACTCAATTCAAACATAATGATATAGCTAAGTAAAAAGTAAAAGCATAGAAAAAGATATATCACATAAGTATTAAATTTTAAAAAGGAAGAGTGGCTATATGAATATCAAGGTAGACTTCAGAGCAAAGAAATTACCAGACACGGAGAGGAATTTTACATGATGATAAAAGATCAAGATCAATCTACCAACAAGAGATAGCAAACCTAAGTGTGTATGCACCAAAAACAGATCTTTCAAATACATGAAGCAAAAACTGATAAAGCCAAAGGAAGAAATTGACAAATCTACTATTATAGTTGGAGACTTCAACACTCTTTTCTCAGTAATTGATAGAACTACTAGATAGAAAATCCACAAGGAGCCAGGCGTGATAGCTCATGCCTGTAATCCCAGCACTTTGGGAGGCCAAGGCAGGAGAATTACCTGAGGCCTGAAGTTTGAGACCAGCCTGGGAAACTTAATGAGACCCTGTCTTTACAAAATAATAATAATTATTTTATTTTTGGCTATCAATCATGCCACATTATTTTTAATTACATACAAAGATCTAACATGCCATCCAGGGACCATTTTACCCACTGCTTTGATTGGTTGCCAATCTCTTGTCTCTCTCTTCAGCAATGGTGAGGCAGATACCTTTTCCTTGGGGAAGAGAAATCCATGGTATGTTGCCCTTGCAAACAACAAAAATGTTGGAAAGTCAAGTGGCAAAGCTGTTGCCATTGGCATCTTTCATGTGAACCACGTCAAGAGATCCAGGGTGCCTCTCTCTGTTGGTGATCACACCAATTCTTCCCAGGTTGGCACCTCCAGTCACCATACACAGGTTACCAGTGTCGAACCTGATGAAGTCAGTAATCTTGCCAGTCTCCAAATCAATCTGAATGGTGTCATTCACCTTGATGAGGGGATCAGGGTAGCAGATGGTACGAGCATCATGAGTCACCAGATGAGGGATTCCTTTTGTGCGCACAAATATTTTTTCTCACTTTTCACAACTTGTACTTGGCCTCCTCAGGTGTAATACGATGTACAGCAAAGTGACCCTTGGTGTCACAGATCAGACAGAAATTCTCTCCCATCTTGTCAATGCTGATGACATCCATGAATCCAGCAGGGTAGGTTATATCAGTGCGGACCTTGCCATCGATCTTAATGAACCGCTGCATGCAAATCTTCTTTACTTCCTCTCCTGTCAGGGCATACTTAAGTCTGTTCCTTATGAAAATGATGAGGGGGAGACACTCTCTCAACTTGTGGGGACTGGTGGATGGATGAGGAGCAAACACACCAGTCAATTTATCCAGCATCCAATGCTTTGGAGCTGCTACCTGCTTTAGATGCTTCTTGGGACCACGAGCCATGGCTACGTTAGGCACAGAAAAAGAAAAAATAACAATTTTAAAAATTAGCCAGGCATAGTGGCACAAGCCTGTAGTCCTAACTACTCAGGAGGCTGAGGCAGGAGGATTACTTGAACCCAGGAGTTTGAGGCTGTAGTGAGCTATGACTGCACCACTGCACTCCAGCCTGGACAACAGAGATAGACCCTGTCTCTAAAAAAATAAAAAAGAAAATAATGAGGATATAGAAGAATTGAACAACACCTTCAACCAACAGGATCTAACAGAACAAACAACCCTATAACAGCAGAATACATGTGCTTTTCAAGTGCCTAGGGAGCATTCACCAAGATTAACCATGTCCTGGATTTTAAACCAATCTCAACAAATGCTAAAAAAAAATAATAAAACTAGAAATCCCTAATCACTGCCCTCTTTTCCAAGCTGCCTGTGACTCTTACCCAGATGTTCTCAATACATAAGCTTTCAACAGGGGAGAATGATAGAAATTACTGGAGAACCCCCATTCCAGGTCACTGAGGCACATGACCTTCTACTAAAGAAATAATTTCCAGTAAAAGGATACAATAAAGGGAATAGATGTTCCCACTAGGCCTGGATTAATGAGTACTCTATCTTGGAGAAAAGTGATTATTTCCAGAGCTGCCTCTGGCATTCTTCCTCCACCCAGAAGTGATGCTGTGAGAAGTGAAATTACTTATAAATCAGTAGTGCCCAAAGCACTTTATAAAGGAGGTCCCACATGTAAGCTCCACCAAGTATAAATAATAACACTAATAACACCTCCCTCATCTTGTCTTTATATCTGGGTCTTGGAGGATCAAAGCCATCCGAGAGGTACAGCTTCAAAGGCGTCTCCTTCCCAGATCCAGGAATGGGCGCACTCCAACAGGCCCCTACATCCTTGGCTTCCACATTTCACAACTGTTAGAGGCTCCAAAGCATTTACAGTGGTTGATAGAGTCTTTCTGAATATGATACCTCTTTTATAAAATTAATGGCACTATTTCCGGTGGTGGCATCAGCAAAGAAACTCCTTTTCAAGGGCAGCGTGTCCCTCCCATTGTTTGATTTTCTGCCATCCCTTTAAGTGCCTTAATGGAATGCTTGTACGAATAAAGTTGACTGCCAACAAATTTTGCTTTGAATATCTTTTACATTTCAAGGCACCCCTGGAAATAATCGGAGACTATGGGAGACATGGAATTAGGGAGCTGTGGGAAAGCAGGGTTGACAGTGTCATCTCAAGATTTGGTGGACTTCATTATTCAGTGGCCAGAAGTAGGGAGGAGGGGAGTCTGGGGCCTGAGAAGAGGGTTGCCCTGATGGGCTGGTACTGGCTCTGGAGTCACTGACTGTGCCAGGGACCAGATGCCTGCAGAAGCATGGTTCAGCGTTATACCTGCAGGGAGACGAATCACCCAAGAGTGTCTAAAACCATCCTCATAGGGATTTGTGGAACTTCAAACTTGAGAGAGATGATTTCGGGTATCTGGTGGAAGAAATTTCTAAGCAGCAAAGCATTCAAGAGGAAGCAGAGCATGGAAATTTGGAAAATTTGCAGCCTGAACATGGAATAGAAAAGAAAAACCCATTTTCTGGGGAGAAATTTAAGCCTGCTGCAGAAATTTGCATAAGTAACGAGGAGCCAAATTTTAACCTCCAAAACAATGGGGTAAGGTCTCCACGGTATGTCAAAAACCTTCATGGCAGCCCCTCCCATCACAGGTCCAGAGGCCTAGGAGGGAGAAATGGTTTCCTGGGCTGGGCTCAGGGACCCCTGCTGTGTGCAAAATAGGGACTTGGTGCCCTGCATCCCAGCTGCTTCAGCTGTGGCTAAAAGGGGCCAGAGTACAGCTCAGTCTGTAGCTTTAGAGGGTGTAAGCCCAAGCCTTGGCAGCTTCCACATAGTGTTGAGCCTGCAGGTACACAGAAGTCAAGAATTGAGGTTTGGGAACCTCTGCCTAGATTTCAGAGGATGTATGGAAATGCCAGGATGTTCAGGCAGAAGTTTGCTGCAGTGGTGGAGTCCTCATGGAGAACCTCTGCTAGGGTAGTGAGGGAGGGAAATGTGGGGTCAGAGCCTCCACACAGAGTCCTTAATAGGGCACTGTCTAGTGGAGCTGTGAGAAGAGAGCCACCATCATCCAGACTCCAGAATGGTAGATCCACCAACAGCTTGCACCATGTACCTGGAAAAGCCACAGAAATGCAGTGCCAGTTTGTGAAAACAGCCAGGAGTAGGGGACAGTACCCTGCAAAGCCACAGAGGTGGAGCTGCCCAAGGCTGTGGGAACTTACCTCTTGCATCAGTGTGACCTGGATGTGAGACATGGAGTCAAAGGAGATCATTTGGGAGCTTTAAGGTTTAATGACTGCCCTATTGGATTTCAGATTTGCATGGTGTCTGTAGCCCCTTAGTTTTGGCCAATTCCTCTCATTTGGAATGGGTATATTTACCCAGTGCCTGTACCCCCATTGTATCTAGGATGTAACTAACTTGTTTTGATTTTACAGGCTCATAGGAGGAAGAAACTTGCCTTGTCTCAGATGAGACTTTGGATTTGGACTTTTGGGTTAATTCTGGAAAAAGCTAAGACTTTAGGGTACTGTTGGAAAGGCATGATTGTGTTTTAAAATGTGAGGACATAAGATTTGGGAGGGGCCAGGGGTGGAATGATATGGTTTGGCTTTGTCCCCACTCAAATCTCATCTTGAATAGTAGTTCCCATAATCCCCATGTGTTGTGGGAGGGATGCAGTGAGAGGTAATCGAATCATCGGGGTGGTTTCTCCCATGCTGTTCTTGTGATAGTAAGTGAGTTCTCACAAGATCTAGTGGTTTTATAAGGACCATCCCTTGTAAGGGTTTTCCCCCTTTGTTCAGCACTTCTCCTTCGTGCCTCATGTGAAGAAGGATATGTTTGCTTCCCCATCCACCATGATCGTAAGCTTCCTGAGGTCTCCCCAGCCCTGCAGAGCCATGAGACAATTAAACCTCTTTCTTTTATAATAATAATAATAATAAAACCATCCTCATAGGGTTAACAAGAATTTAGATGCCAGGTTTGGGGCAGAAATATAGTTATAATTAAGCATTAATCAGGCTGCACTCTGGCCCACTTCCTTAAACTGAAAGTCATGCAGCTCAAGATACTGACTGTTTAAATCCCATTTTCCCCATAGATAGGACTTCTGATGTTAGAATCATTAGGCTTTTGTTTAAGAATTGCTCAAGATATTCTTCATATCCTGAATTCCATCAGGAAAGGCTGATGCCAATGAGTTTGAAGACCCCACGAGGAACCAAATCAGCATGAGAATGCAGTTTCTTCATCTCCCTGTCCTATGACTTCACCCTGCACTCTTCCACCAATCAACAATCCCCACATCTCAGCCCTTTCCAAAGCCCTTAATATCCGTAGCTCCAAATTCCTTAGGTTGGTGGATTTGAGGTTTCTTCCCACCTCCTCATTTAGCTCTCCTATGATTATTAGACTTTTTCTCTGCAGCAATCCCCCTTGTCTTGTTATATTGACTTGCCAGGCATTGGGCAAACGATCCTGTTACATATCCACTGAGCCATATGTGGAAGCCTCGGCCAGTGCCAGTCAATATCAAGGAATTTGGTCCATTTCTAGATAAGAATTTGGGGTTGTTGATTAGTTGGGATAAGGGGAAGGAAATCATCAGGATGTGGAAACTGCATTCTTTGGTGACTCAGCTCCTGTGAGGTCCTTAAGACCAGCTGGCATCAGTAGTTTCATTGGTATGCAGAAACTGAAAGAGTATCTCAAATGGAAAAGTTAATGTTTTATAATGTTGAAGTTGTTATCTATAGAGCAGCTAAGGGGAAGGATCATCTCGTAACAGGGTTCATGTAATCCTGAGTCGATAGGCCCCAGACAGCTGTGAGGAAGTGGATCAGAGAGCAAGCGGACCTCATGGTCAATGCTGAGTGTGCTGCAAGCTTGGTTTATCTTCATTTCTCCCCCTTCCTTCTTTCCTGATTAATTTTATAAAGTCTATAGGGACAGTTTCACCACTTAGATGTTCCCATCCCTCCTCTGCTGTCATCTCTCTAGGCTGGAACCCCATTGTGCATGGGCTCAGCATACCCTTTGGCCAGATAATGGGAATGGTGGTCTGTTCCCACCTGCTCCCACCTCTGTAGCGACTTTTCTCTAGCAATTAACCCCTCTCTTTCCTGTGCCATCAACTGTCCCCATAAACCAACTCCTCCCCAGCATTCAAACATCTCCCCCATCTTAAAAAAACAAAACTGATCTTGATTCCCATTCTGGAAGCGGCCCCTTCCCCTCCTCCCCAAATAACTAAACTTACTTAAGAGTGCCCTGCATCCAGCCTGCATTCCCTCCTCACCCAGCAGAGCTGCACCTGTGGAAAGCAGGCTGCAGCTCTCGTGTTCCACCGCACCCTGCTGCGGCCCTGTCCACAGACCATCTGATTGGCACCCGACAGTGTACATACCCCAGGACTCATTACCCTCCTCCTTGAAACTTCCTCTGCTGCGTTCGTTGCTGCCATGTTTTGTGTTCTTCCTGCCTCTCTGGTTTCTTCTTCAGATGCATGGCTGGTTTCCTCTCTGCGCATGAGCTTCAGTCCTGCTCTCTCTCTCTTTTCTTTTGCTCCTTAGCAGTACTTTATCCCTGGGTTCCAAGTGTCACCAATGTGCTGACAACCACTGGGCTTAAATTTCCAGTGCAGCCAATCCCCTGAGCTCTGAACGCATCCTGCCGACTGCCTGCCTCGCATCTTCCACTGGAAAATGGCACTTCTCTCCACGTGAGTGTGAACCTACACTCCTACCTTCCCTCACCCCTGCACCCAAACCCTCAGCAACCCCTGCACCTGCTCCCTCTGAAATCTCCTCTGCCAGCGGCTTCTCCTTACATCCACTGTCACTACTCATGTCCAGAGCACCGGCATCTCTCCCTCGACCTCCACAAGCCTCCCAGCTTCCACTCCTGCCTTCTCCAAACCCCACACAGCCCTTGAGCCACCCATGGTCATCATGTCTCTTTCTTGCCCGAAGTCTTCAGTGGATTTCCACTGGCTTTCACTGAGAGCTCTAAGTCCTGAACATGACCTCCGAGGCCTGGCATCTGCTGCCATGGGCCCCCTTTCTTGCTGTTCTCATGTCCTTACCCCTTTGTCACTGTGTCCAGCCACACTGACCTCCTTTCAATTCCCTGAACTCACAGAGCCCTTTCTCCTGGTCAGGACGGTGCTCCCTCTGCTCCCTCTGCTTGGAGCAGCCTCCCTCCCATTCTCTGGCCAGCTCACACCAACTCCTCTCTAGGTCAGTGCCATAAATACCCATCCCCAGGGAGGCCTTCCCTCCACCCCAGCATGCATCTCACCTTCCATTGTGATCTCTTGTCACACCTCAGCTTCTCCCTCTCAGCATGTATTACATTTTGCATTCTGAAATGTTCATTTGTGTGAATCATTGTTTAATATCTATTTCTTCCACTTAACAACAACCTAAGGGCAGGGGTGATCCTGTCTGTTTTCACCATGACTATAACCCCCTAGCTTTCAGAATAGAAATAGGCACAGAGTAGGGGTTCAATAAATTTTTTTGAATGAGTACTAAGTATTCTGCAGTAACAGATAAACACACAGACACACAGATGCTTATTAAATACAAAAGCCTGATTGCCTGTTGTAGCTGTTGGTGACCCACCCAATCTCTTTCACTGTTCTGGAGTCCGCATCCTCCCAGCTGCTGTGTGTATCGGCTTCAAATGTCTCACAGCTGCCCTGCTTCTTTGGGGAGCTGCCCTCAGCAGAGGAGAGCTGCCTGGCTGGCAACCCTCAGCGCCATGGATGGCAGGCCTGCCCCTTGCCTCCCGGTAGGGTCAGCAGGACAGGGAAGGGGAAGGCAGCCCTGCAGTGCTGTTCATGCTCCAGGGTTCCCTATCAGTAGGCTGACGCTAGACATGCCTAAGCCCACTTCTCTCCCTCTCGTGCTCCCATAACCAGTATTTCTTGAGAGTTCTCCCACCGTAAGCCACTTGAACAAGAAACTCTGAAGTGGGGCATGGTGGCTCGTGCCTGTAATCCCAGCAATTTGGGAGGCTGAGATCATTTGAGTGGATCGTTTGAGCCCAAGAGTTGGAGACCAGCCTAGGCAACATAGTGAGACCCCTGTCTCTACAAAAAAAATTTTAAAAATTAGGTGGGCATAGTGGCACATGCTTGTAGTCCCAGCTACTTGGGAGGTTGAGGTGGGGGATCACTTAAGCCCAGAAGGTCAAAGCTGCAGTGAACCATGATCATGCCACTGTACGTCAGCCTGCAACAGAGTGAGACTCTTTATTAAAAGAAAGAGAGAGAAGAGAGACACAGAGAGAGAGAATCAAGAAAGCAAGAGAGAAAGAAGAGAAGAGAAGAGAAAAGAAGGGAGGGAGAGAGGAAGGAAGGAAGGAAGGAAAAAGAAACTATGTCCCAGGTTCTGCTTCTAGGAAGTCCAGTAAAAAACACTTATAATGGGGAAGAAAATATATGTGGCATCAGGGATGAGAGGGAGAAATTAAACGAAACAAAATGAGAGAAAAGTCTTGTACCAGCGCATGTGCCTAAGAATTGAGGTGAATGAGTCAAATCTCGCATCTTTTATCCTTCCTTGGAATTATTGAATTAATAAATGGGAGAAGAGAAAGAAGGAGTGGAAGAGAGGAGAGCAGAGTGGAGGACAGCAGAGGATTTCTCTTTTAGTGCCCCTAGGAGGTCATGATGTGTCCCATGAAGCCAGAAGGGGTCTGCTGGTCCCCAATCCCTTAATGGAATCTCAGCCGCTTCTAAAGGAGGAAAAATGAACATTAGTTCCCTAAGCCTCCTTTGCCTTGGAGCCAACCAGCATGCCCTGTGTTCTACAACATAATCCTTTGCTAATCACTAGCTAGGGCACTAGGTAAAGCAGTTTTTCAAATCCTGGCTGGAGCTCATGGCATTTGAGATATACAAATATGTTGCCATGGTGACACACTGACAGATTAATTACTGAAACCTCCAGGAGTAAAGCTGCTTTAATGGTGTAACCTTAGTGGATAGGAGCTTGTGGGGGGGTGGGGGGGTGGGGGCGTGTAGTGATTCACAGCCCTCTCAGCACAAAGTTGGGGCCAGCAGATCTGGGGCTAGAGGTAGGTGGAGCAGCCACAACCCTTACCTCACACCAACATTTCCTGGAGCCCTGGGCTTCCTGAGTCTGTCCTGCCTCTAGAAATGGAATCTCTAACCCCAAAGCTTGTCCTTGAAAAATACCTGCATCATCCTTTTATCCACGCCTTTGCCAGTCATTATGCAGCCTGCATCTCTGCATGATTAATGAGCAAATCCTCACAGCCACTCCCACTTCCCCCACCACTAAGCTCTTCTTAGCTGGAAAATCCTCTGAAGCTATTGGCTAGCAGGGCTCTGCCCAACAAGAGTATTAATGTTAGGCATATGATTCCTCAAAGGAAGAGAGAAGAAAAATATTCGGGGACAAACACAATGGATGCAGATCTCATCAGGGAACCCAAGGTAGAATCTAGCCCACATTTTTAAGTTAACAAGATTAGAAAATTATGTAATTCTCACAAATAAGCTTGTCCCTTAAAATCCACAATAGACTTTTACAAATTCAGGTGGGTTCTTTGGCCCAGGCTGGAGTGAAATGGCATAATCTTGGCTCACTGCAACCTCCACCCACTGGGTTCAAACGATTCTCCTGCCTCAGCCTCCCGGGTAGCTGTGATTACAGGCATGCACCACCATGCCCAGCTAATTTTTGTATTTTTAGTAGAGATGGGGTTTTGCCATGTTGGCCAGACTGGTCTCTAACACCTGACCTCAGGTGATCCGCCTGCCTCGGCCTCCTGAAGTGCTGGGATTACAGGCATGAGCCACCTTGCCTGGCCTCAGGTGGGTTCTTATATGAGCCTTGGTGGCTCTCATTTCTCCCAAATGATGAGCTGAGATGAAGGCATATATATCTTTGACTGGTTATGGAGTTGAGATATTCACAGTAAGTTTGCAATAATAACAGAAGCGACTATTACCACACCTCAGTGGAAACGGAGTTTTCCAAAAAGCCACAATTTCAGATAAACCTGACTCTAAGTGGGAAAAGAAATAAGACATTAAAGGAGATATTTCGAAGCTTTAGAAAGGCATTCGAAAAGTTTTTGAGCCCATCTAACAAGCATCTCTTTGTGTTTTGTCTCCTTTCTCTAATATTTAAATGTAATTTTGATGTCTGCCAGATTAAATTATCCATTGACCAATTTATGTCATTAAACTTAAATGCTATAATTATCCTTAATAAGTATAACTACTAGCCTGTTTTTGCTTAATGGTTGTAAAGTTTTATGCCTTTTAATAATCCTCCTACAGGTTTGAAGTTTGTGTTTCTCAGATAGCTGAAATTCTGCTCTGCATAGTGTCAAACCAGATCAAAGAGTCTCGCTTTGTTCACGAGAACAATATGAGCTTGAAAATGCGGGGTTGGAAGAAAAAACACACCAGAAAATGATGTTCTTTCAAGAAAACTGGCAAACCAAGAAAATCCTACACAAATTTTGCAAAAAGAAGGCTAATCTAGAATACGTTTTTCTCTACATACACAGTTCAAGTGCAATTAAAAAAAGAATTTTTTTCAGCATTAAGTTTATATAAAATGGGCCCTCTTTTTATTCCATGTGCTTCATAATCTTCTTTCTCAGGGATATTTAGAGTTGGATTTTTGCAGATGATGCCCTGTTCTCTTCATGTCACAGCATGCGTTTTTGTTTTTTGTTTTGAGAGCCAGGGTCTGCCCAGGCGCGGTGATTCATGTCTGTAATCCCAGCACTTTGGGAGTCCAAGGTGGGTGGATTGCTTAAGCTCAGGAGTTCAAGACCAGCCTGGGCAACATGGCAAAACCTCATCTCTACTAAAAATCCAAAAATTAGCCAGGCATGGTGGTGCACGCCTCCCAGCTACTCTGGTGGCTGAGGCAGGAGAATTGTTTGAATCCGGGAGGTGGAGGCTACAGTGAGCCAAGATCGCACCATTTCACCCCAGCCTGAGCAACAGAGTGAGACCCTGTCTCAAAAAATAAATAAAATAAAATAGGGAGTTGGGGTCTGGCTCTGTCACCCAGGCCAGAGTACAGTAATGCAATCATAGCTCACAGCAGCCTCAAATTCCTGGGCTCAAGCAATCTTCCTGCCTCAGCCTCTCCTGTAGCTTGCATTACAGGCATGAGCCATCTCACCCAGAAAACAACATACACTTTTCATTCCAGATTTTACATCTCTCCACTCTGGGTTATTTTTTTGCTTTGGTTCTATCTATTGAGGTGTCTTATTTTCAACTAAGTGTTGTGTTTAGGAACTTCTTTTTGTGGGTGAATGTTTATACTAACTCCCATCCTTAACCCAGAGTGGGATTAAGACTTTTTTCTTCTTTTTTTTCCCCTTACTTATATGGCATCAAAAACAAAAGCAAAAATAAATCTTGGAGTAGTACAGAGAAACCTGATTCCAAAAGGTCATCATACCAGCCTGGGTAACACAGCAAAGCTCTGCCTCCACGACAAATACAAAAATTAGCTAGGTGTGGAGGTACACACCTGTAGTCCTAGCTCTCTGGGAGGCTGAGGTGGGAGAATCGTTTGAGTCTAGGAGTTTGAGGGTGCAGTGAGCTATGATCAGACCACTGCACTCCAGCCTAGGCAACAGAGTAAGACCCTGTCTCATACAAAAACAAAAAAGATTATTGTAAAGGTGAAGGAAACTGGCTATTACAATAGGAAGAACTCTCTAACCATAAGATCTGCAAATGTCTCAAGAGTTAAGCAAAAAGGGGTTTTCTTTTATAGGGAAGAGAAAATGAGGCTAGAAAGTGGGGTAAATGGAAGTGTCATGATCAGAAAACAGATCAGCAGCCGGGCACGGTGGGTGGCTCACGCTTATAATCCCAGCAGTTTGGGAGGCCAAGGCAGGCAGATCACTTGAGGCCAGGAGTTTGAGACTAGCCTGACCAACATGGTGAAACCCTGTCTCTACTAAGAATACAAAAAAATTAGCCGGCCATGGTGATGGGCCTCTGTAATCCCAGCTACTTCAGAGGCTGAGGCAGGAGAATCGCTTGAATCCGGGAGGTGGAGGCTGCAGTGAGCCAAGATCATGCCACTGCACTCCAGCCTGGACGACACAGTGAGACTCCATCTCAAAAAAAAAAAAAAAAAAAAAGGAAAAGAAAGAAAAGAAAAAAGAGAGTAGATCAGAGAAGGTTGCACCCCAGGTGGGCCTAGGCTCAGGAGGGGCTGCTGAGGAAGAGCTTGTTCTGGCCCAGGCTGAGAGTGGGCCAAGTTCAGGGCCCTGGGGAAAGGAGATTTTGATTAAGAAGGGTTTTGTTTTGTTTGATCAATAGGGACCTGCTGCTCAGCCAATCATTTATGAGGTAAAGAACAGGAATTTGGCAGGTTCGTATCTGGCTTTTTCTAGGTAAACAAGGGCAGGGGTCCCAAGCCCCTGGGCCACGGACCAGTACCAGTCTGTGGCCTGTTAGGAACCGGGCCCCACAGCAGGAGGTGAGCAGCGGGCCAGCCAGCACTACCACCGAGCTCCACCTCCTGTCAGGACTTTAACTTCTCACAGGACCACGAGCCCTATTGTGAACTGTGCATGGGAGGGATCTAGGTTGCACACTCCTTATGAGAATCTAACTAATGCCTGATGACCTGAGGTAGAGCAGTTTCATCTGGAAACCACTGCCCCCACCCATCTGTGGAAAAGTTTTCTTCCATGAAACTGGTCCCTGGTGCCAAAAAGGTTGAGAACTGTTGAACTAAGGGGCATCCATGACTCTTATCTATGTTATATGTGGAAGGGGGGGGGGTTCATCTTCGCAGTACATGCCTTTTGTTTCCCAGAACACAAAAGTAGGGGGATTTCTTAACCCTCACTCTTTTCCAAGAGTTACAGGGTACTCTTAGGTAAGGTTTAGTGTTGTCAGTGACCACATTCAAGACCAGACTTCAAGAGGCCCAGAACACATTATGTGATGGTTTGCTGGTCTAGAAGCAAAAGAGAGCATCTATGTTGGCAGAAAGAGTGAACAGGGTTGTCCTATCTGGGGCATCAGCCTTTACTCATGCCTCTTCTGCCTCCTCCGTAGTTCCACAGAAGCAACAATGAGCTACCTGTGAACTGGAGAAAACTGACAATCTAGATTCTTTCCATTCTGCAGCCTACTTTCTATAACCTTATTAGTTCATAACACAATAATCTCATTTTAGAATTTCATTTATCTCTCATTAGTCACTGCTTTCAGAAAATAGCAATTTACCTGTCTATAAAAATAATGCATTTTTATCATTGACTATGTAGACATAATGGGAAGGATAACATCAGCAAGATGGCCAAGTAGGAAGCCCTGGACTCTCCTTCTCCCAGTGGACACAGCTCAACAACGGTGCATGGACAAATTCCCTTTTCGAGGAATTCAGAAACTCATTGAGAAGCTCCTGCGCCCTGCATGAACATGAAACCAGCCGCATTGAAGCCAGTAGGAAAATTCAAAACACACTCTCATTGTAATCCCTACCCCAACACATCACCATACCATCAGAAGGAAACCATCTGTTCCCAGCTTCTCCCTAGGAGAAGAGTTGAAGCAGGTACCCAGCCTTCCAACTTTTCCAGGGGCTGCTCAAGGGATAGATTTCTGTCTCTTCTGTCTTAGAGCACTGATGAGACCTAGTAAAATCAAGATGCTTTGGGGGCCTCTAAGAACAAAGCACAAAGGTTTGAGAGGCCCCCAAAATCTCTGGGCAGACTGACTGATGAGGATTTCCTCCTGCATAAGTTCAGTCGTGAAGGTAGGGAAAGGTGGCTGCATTTTCTAATGCATAGATACTGACACAAAAACTCAAGGAAAATGAAGAAACAGGGAAATATATTCGGAACAAAGCAACAGGATAAATCTCCGGAAACAGTCTCAATACGATGGAGATTCAAGCACGCCTCATTTTATTGCACTTTATTGCATTTTGCAGACACTGTGTGTGTTTTTTGTTTGTTCGTTTGTTTACAAATTGAAAAAAAAAAAAAGACTCTGCATTAAGCAAGTCTAGCAATGCCATTTTCCCAACAGCATGTGCTCACATAATGTCTCTGTGTCACATTTTGGTAATTCTTACACTATTTCAAACATTGTCATTATTCTTATGTTTTTCATGGTGATCTGTGAGTGATAATCTTTGATGTTACTGTTGTAATTGTTTTGGGGTACCACAAACCATACCCACATAAGATGGCAAGTTTAATTGATAAATATTGTGTGTGTTCTGACTGCTCCACTGACCAGCCATTCTCCCATCTATCTCCCTCTACTGGGGCGTCCCTACTCCCTGAGACACAACAATATTGAAATTAGGCCAATTAATAATCCTACAATGGCCTCTAAATGTCCAAGTGAAAGGAAGAGTCCCACATTTCTCACTTTAAGTCAAAATCTAGAAATGATCAAGCTTAGTGAGGAAAGGATGACAAAAACCAAGACAGGCTGAAAGCTAGGCCTCTTGTGCCAAACAGTCAGCCAAGTTGTGAATGTACAGGAAAAGTTCTTAAAGCATATTAAAAGTGCTACTCCGGTAAATATATAAATGATAATAAAGCAAAGCAGCCTTATTGCTGATATGGTGAACGTTTGAGTGGTCCAGATAGAAGATCAAAGCAGGAAAAACATTCCCTTAAGCCACAGCCTAATCTAGAGCAAAATCCAAACTCTCTTGAATTCTTTGCAGGTTCAGAGAGGTAAGGAAGTTGCAGAAGAAAAGTTGGAAGCTAACAGAGGTTGGTTAATGAGGTTTAAGTAGGAAAACTGTCTCTGTAACATAAAAGTGCAAGGTGAAACAGTAAGTGTTGATGTAGAAGCTGCCTCAAGTTATCCAGAAGATAATTAAGATAATTGATGAAGATGGCTACACTAAACAACAGATTTTCAATGTAGATGAAAAAGCTTTCTATTGGAAGAAGATACCATCTAGGACTTTAACAGCTAAAGAGGAGAAAGCCAATGCCTGGCTTCAAAGTTTCAAAGGATGGGCTGGACTCTTGTTATGGACTAATGCAGCTAGCGACTATAAGTTGAAAGCAATGCTTATTTACTATTCTGAAACTCCTAGAGCCCTTAAGAATTATGCCAAATCTACTCTGCCTGTGCTCTAAAAATGGAACAGCAAAGACTGGATGACAGCACGTCTGTTTACAGCATGGTTTACTGAATATTTAAGCCCACAGTTGAGACGTACTATTCAGAAAAAGAGATTGTTTTAAGTATTACTCCTCAGTGGCAATGTTCCTGGTCAACCAAGAGCTCTGATACAGATGTACAAAGAAAGTAATGTTGTTTTCATCCTGCTAACACAACATTCATTCTTCAGCCCATGGATCAAGGAGCAATTTCAACTTTCAAGACTTATTATTTAAGAAACATATTTTGTAAGACTATAGCTGCCATAGATATTGATTCCTCTAATGGATCTGTGCGAACTAAATAGAAAATCTTCTGGAAAGAATTCACCATTCTAGATGCCATTAAGAAGATTTGTGATTTATGGGAGAAAATCAAAATAGCAACATTAACTGGAGTTTGGTAGGATTTGATTCCAACCCTCATGGATGACTTTGAGTGTATATCTGTCCTTTCCCACATTGCTGTAAAGAAATACCTGAGACTGGGTAGTTTATAAAGAGATTTAATTGGCTTATGATTCTAAAGGCTGTACAGGAAGCATAGTGGCTTCTGCTTCTTCAGGAGGACTCAGGAAGCTTCCAATCATGGTGGAAGGCAAAGGGGGAGTGAGGCAGTTCATATGGCTGGAGTAGGAGGAAGAGAGAAAGTGGGGAGGTGCCACATGCTTTTAAACAACCAGATCTCATGAGAACTCTATCATGAGGACAGTACTAGGGGGATGGTGCTAAACCATTAGAAACCATCCCCATGATTCAATCACCTCCCATGAGTCCCCACCTCCCATCAGGCCTCACCTCCAGCATTTGGGGATTATATTTCAATATGAAATTTGGGTGGGGACACAGATTCAAACTGTATCATTCTGCCCCTGGCCCCTCCCAAGTCTCATGTCCTTTTCACATTTCAAAACACAATCATCTCTTCTCAACAGTCCCCTAAAGTCTTAACTCATTCCAGCATTAACTCAAAAGTCCATAGTCCAAAGTCTCATCTGAGACAAGGCTAGCCTCTTCCACCTATAAGCCTGTAAAATAAAAACAAGTTAGTTACTTCCAAGATACAGTGGTGATATAGGCACTGGGTAAATACTCCATTCCAAAAGACTTGCCCCCATGATTCAATTACCTCCCACCAGGTCCCTCCCACAACATGTGGGAATTCAAGATGAGATTTGGGTTGGGACACAGCCAAACCATATTGTTCACTCCTGACCCCTCCCAAATCTCATGCCCTCACATTTCAAAACTAATCATGCCTTCCCAACAGTCCCCCCAAATCTTAACTCATTTCAGCATTAACTCAAAAGTCCACAGTCCAAAGTCTCATCCGAGACAAGGCAACTCCCTTCTGCCTATGAGCTTGTAAAATCGAAGCAAGTTAGTTACTTCCTAGATGCAATGAGGTTACAGGCATTGGGTGAATACAGCCATTCCAAATAAAAGAAAATGGCCCAAAGCCCCCATACAAGCCCAAAACCCAGCAGGGCAGTCATAAAATCTTAAAGCTCCAAAATAATCTCCTTTTACTCCATGTCTCATGTCCAGAGCACTCTGATGCAAGGGGTGGGTTCTCAAGGCCTTGGGAAGCTCCACCCCTCTGGATTTCTAGGGGTCAGCTCCTGCGACTGCTCTCATGGGCTGGCGTTGCATGCCTGTGGCTTTTTCAGGTTCAGGGTGTAAGCTAAGATTGGATCTACCATTCTGGGGTCTAGAGGATAGTGGCCCTCTTCTCACAGCTCCACTAGGCAGTGCCCCAGTGGGGACTTTGTGTGGAAGCTCCAACCCCACATTTCCCCTCTGCACTGCCCTAGCAGATGTTATCCATGAGGGCTCCACCCCTGCAGCAGGCTTCTGCTTGGACATCCAGGTTTTTCCATACATCCTCTGAAGTCTAGGTGGAGGCTCCCAAGCCTCAACTCTTGCACTCTGAGCACCCACAGGCTTAACACCACATGGAAGGTGCCAAGACTTATGGCTTGCACTCTCTGAAGCAGCAGCCCAAGCTGTACCTGGGCCACTTTAAGCCATGGTTAGAGGTGGGGCAATTGGGACACAGGGAGCAGTGTCCCAAGGCTGCAAGGGGTGGCAGGGCCCAGGCTTGGCTCACAAAACCATTTTTCCCTTCTAGACCTCTGGGCCTGTGATGGGAGCAGCTGCACAAAGTTCTCTGAAATGCCTTGGAGGACTTTTTTAAATTGTCTTGGATATTAGCACTTGGATCCTCTTTACTTATGCAAATTTCTGCAGCCTGCTTGAATTCCTTCCCTGAAAAAAATGGGCTTTTCTTTTCTACCACACGGCCAGGCTGCAAATTTTCCAAATTTTTATGCTCTGGTTTCCCTTTTAAATACACACGTGGTTGTGCATGCCTGTAATCCCAGCTATGCAGGAGCCTGAGGCGGGAGAATCACGTGAACCCAGGAGGTGGTGGTTGCAGTGAACCGAGATCATGCCACTGCACTCCAGCCTGGCAACAGAATGAGACCCCATCTCAAAAAAAGAAAAAAAAAAAAAAGAAGAAGTGTAGCCTGAAAATGTGACTAAATTGCTGCAACCTCATGATCAAACTTGAATAGATGAGGAGTTACTTCTTACAGATAAGCAAAGAAAGCAGTCAATCCACACTAAGACATATTCTATAGATGCTCATTGAGTTATGATGGGGTTACATCCTGATAAATCCATCAGAAGTTGAAAATATCACCAGTCAAAAATGCATTTATTGCTGGAAACACTGCAGACAGTCTTTGATTATGATGGCTCAACTTATGATTTTTTGATGAGCCAGAGCAATTACTTAGTCAAGAAAAAGAAACAAAAGGCACCCAAAACTATCTCTGAAAATAATATGACTTTTTTTTTTCTTCAGATAGAGTCTTGCTCTGTCATCCAGGCTGGAGTGCAGTGGTGTAATCTCGGCTCATTGCAACGTCTGCCTCCCAGGTTCAAGCGGTTCTGCTGCCTCAGCCTCCTGAGTAGCTGGGATTACAGGTGCATGCCACGAAGCTCAGATAATTTTTGTATTTCTAGTAGAGACAGGGTTTGGCCGAGTTGGCCAGTCTGGTCTTGAACTCCTGACTTCAGATGATTCGCCCACCTTGGCCTCCCAAAGTGCTGGGATTACAGGCATGAGCCACCACACCTGGCAACATGATCTTATATATAGAAAACTCTAATGCGTCCATGAAAAAAACTCTTAGAATAAACCAATTCAGTAAAGTTGCAGGGTATAAAATCAACATGTAAAAATCAATTGTATTTCTGTACACTAACAATAAACTACCTGAAAAGGAAACCAAAAAAAATCCCATTTATAGTAGCATCAAAAAGATAAATTACTTATGAATAACCTTAACAAAAGAGGTGAAAGACTTGTACACTGACTATTGCAATACACTGATGAAATAAATTAATGAAGACACAAATAGATGAAAAGACATTCTGTGTTTATAAAGTGAAAGAATTAGTATTGTTGAGATTCCCACAGTACACAAATGATCTACAGATTCAATGCAATTTCTTTCAAAATCCCAATGGCATTTTTTATAGTTGAAGAAAAAAAAATCCTGAAATTGGTATGGAACCACAAAGAACCCCAAATAGCCAGTACAATCTTGAGCAAAAAGAAAAGAGCTAGAGACATCACAACCTCCTGGTTTCAAAATACATTGCAAAGCTACAGTAATTAAAACAGTATGGTACTGGCATAAAGACAGACATATAGATCAATAAAACAGAATAGAGAACCCAGAAATAAATGCAGGCATATATGGTCAACTGATCTTTGACAGGGTGCCAAGAATACACAGTAGAGAAAGAATAGTCAGTTCAACAAATGGTATTGTGAAAACCAGATATCCTTGTGCAAAAAAAAAAAGAAACTGGACCCTTATCTTACACCACACACAAAATCAGCTAAAATGAATTAAATACCTGAAATTTTAAAATTTCTAGAATAAAACATATAGAAAAAGCTTTATGATATAGTTCTGGCAATGATTTATTGGTTATGACATCAAAGGTGCAGGCAACAAAAGCAAAAATAGATAATTGGGACTATATCAAACTAAAAAGCTTTTGCAAAGCAAAGGAAATAACTGGGTGAAAAGACAACCTATGGGATAAGAAAAAATATTTGCAAACCATATCTGATAAGGAGTTTAAAACTATAATACAATTGACCCTTGAAAAATATGGCTTTGAACTGTGTGGGTCCACTTATACGCAGATTTTTTTCAACCAAATGTGGATAAAAAATACAATATTTGGGGGAAGCAAAACCTGTGTATACAGAGGGATGACTTTTCATATACATGAGTTCCACAGGGCCAAATGCAGAACTTGAGTATGCATGAATTTTAGTATACACAGGGGATCCTAGAGCCAACTCCCTGCACATACCAATGACAACCATACATAAGGAATTTCTACAACTCAATAGCAAAAAAAAAAAAAAAAAAAAAAAAAAGACGTGATTTAAAAATGGGCAAAGGACTTGAATAGACATTTCTCCAAAGAAGACATAGAAATGGCAGGTATATGAAAAGATGCTCAACATTACTTTAGGGAATCTTTAGGAAAATGCAAATCAAAACCACAATGAGGTATCACCTCACACCTGTTAGAATGGCTACGATCAAAAAGTCAAAAGATCGCAAGTGTTGGTGAGGATGTAGAGAAATTGGAACCCTTGTACTCTGTTGACAGGAATGTAAACTGGTACAGTCATTATGGAAAACAGTTTGGAGATTCTTCAAAAAATTAAAAATAGAACTGCTTCTAAGTATATATCCAATCAATTGAAAACCAGATTGCAAAGAGATATCTGCACTCCCATGTATTATTCATAATAGCCAAGAAAGAGAAACAATGTAAGTATCCATTAGCAGATGAATGGATAAAGAAAATGTGATATATACAGTACCTACAATGGAATATTATTCAGCCTTTAAAAAGGAAGAAATTGGGCCTGGAGCAGTGGCTCATGCCTGTAATCCCAGCACTTTGGGAGGCCAAGGTGGGTGGATCACTTGAGGTCAGGAGTTTGAGACCAGCCTGGCCAACACGGTGAAACCCCATCTCTACTAAAAATCCAAAAAAAAAAAAATTAGCTGTGCCTGGCGGTGGGCGCCTGTAATCCCAGCTACTCAGGGGTAATGTGGTGTTGCTATTCAATGGGTATAAAGTTCAGTTATGCAAGATGAATAAGTTTTAGAGATCTGCTGTACAACATTGTGCATATAGTTAACAATACTGTATTGTACGCTAAGAATCTGTTAAGAGGGTAGACCTCATGTTAAACATTCTAACCACAATAAAAAGAAAAAAGAATTTAGAAATTCAAAAAAGTAATCTAAGTTCCACAAAGTAGAAGGTAACCAAAGTTAACATTTAGATACCTTTTCTCTTAAGACTTTTTCAAATGCACAAATCTGTATGTGTACTTTTTTCATTGTATATTTCTTACTAGTTATCACAGTATATTTTATTGATGTTTTGTTGTTGTTGCTACTGTTGCTACTATTTGCATATGTGGTTTTTGTTTCTGTTTTTGTTTTTTGAGACAAGATCTCACTCTGTCACCCAGGCTGAAGTGCAGTGGTGCCATCTCAGCTCACTGCAGCCTCGAGCTCCTGGGCTCAAGTGGTTCTCCTGTTTCAACCCTCTGAGTAGCTGGGACTACAGGCACACACTACCATGCTCAGCTAATTTTTGTGGAGACAGGGTCTCACTATGTTGCCCAGGCTGGTCTCAAACTCCTGGGCTCAAGTGATCCACTTGCCTTGGCCTCCCAAAGTGTTGGGATTGGAGGCATGAGCCACTGTGCCCGGCTGCGAATGTGTTTCTTAATAGCCACCTGTCAATGCCTATCAGTTAAAGACCTCCAAGGAGTTGAACAAATTGGGTTTGCTGCTCATTGTAATCAAGAAAAATACACACCTCAGGGAACTCTAGGGTGTCTTAGTAGGAGGATGTTATAAAAGAATTAGAGGATTGGGGCTTGTATTAGCTGATTTTGAGAAGGGTTCCAGGGAGCAAGGCTGTGCTCTGAATTGGCTACTGTCTGGAAACAGGGGCAGCTCTATGATTGGGTATCTGAATCGCTGGTATTTAGAATTAGAAGGCAGGAAGAATAAAGTGAAGTAAAGAAGCAGAATCACAACTCAGCCTGGACAAGGCACGTTTGGTCACTTTTAATGTCTTCTTTTGGGTTCAGACATGATTACAGAGAAATTTGGGTTTTGTCCTGATCCATCAGTGAGATAAAGTGGCCTTGATTGATGTTTGTGTTCTGCTTAAGTGTTTATGTTCAACAGGAGATGACAGCAGCCCGGTGGTAATGCCTGTTCTCAGCTGTCAGGGGCCACTTCTCATGCCTTACTGAACTCTCTTAGTTTGTAATTGATTCTCTTGGACTTCTAGTTATGATTTTTTAAAAATATGTCACAAATTTTATATAATTTCTCTCTTTTCTCTATTCCTCTTATTCTTCTATAATTTTATACTGGAATTTCTAGAACACTATCAAAGTATAAAAATGGTAGAAGGCCTTGATCCTATTTCTTACTTTAATTGGAATGCCTGTAGTATTTTTATCATTAAATATCAGATTGGCTGTTTGGGACGATAATGATGTCTGAAGAGGCTTTTCTTCAGTATACTAAATAAAGATCCTTCCTGTTAGTGTATTCAGAAATGACTGTTCAATTTTTTTCAAATGTTGTTTTGTATCTATGAAGATAATCATATGCTTTTCTCCTTTTCTATTCTGATGTGATGAACCATACTAATGGATTTCCTATTATTCAAATATCCTTGCACTTTCGGAATGCCAATTTGAATTTTTCCTGAATGAGCATCTGAGTCTGAAGTACTGCATTTATTCACAAGTGAGACTTGTTTCTAAATTTTGTGATGTCAACTTGGCTGTGTTTTAGCATCAGTGCACCTCTAGTTTCACAAAACAAATTGGGAGATTCACAGCATTTTTATGCACCTGGAAACAAGTTACACAGAATAAGAACTGCCTATCCCTTTAAAGCAACACTGACCCATAGAACTTTCTGAAGTGACAGAAATGCTCTATATCTCTCTTCTCCAATATGGCAACCACTAGCCATATGTGGTTACTGAGCACTTCAAAAGTGGCTAGTGAAACTGAAGAAGAGAATTTTCCATTTTATTTAATTTTAATTAATGCAATAACCTATGAAACCATGTGTCCAACATCTTTCTTGATGTAATTTCCTAACAACTGTTTCCATTTCTTCTATGGTTATTATTCTGACTTTCTTTTTTTTTCTTTTCTTTTTCAGACAAGGTCTTGCTCTGTTGCCCAGGCTGGAGTGCAGTGGCACGATCTTGGATCACTGCAACCTCCACCTCCCAGGCTCAAGCAATCCTCCCACCTCAGCCTCCAGCGTAGCTGGGACTACAGGTGGGCACCACGCCTGGCTACTTTTTGTATTTTTAGTAAAATGAGGTTTCACCATGTTGCCCAGGCTGGTCTCAAACTCCTGGGCTCAAGTGATCTGCTCACCTTGGCCTCCCAAAGTGCTGATATTACAGATGTGAACCACCATGACCAGCCTCTGTTTCTTTTGAAACAATTTTGGCAATTGATAATTGTCTTAGGGAAAAAATTTCCTCTGAATTTTCAAATTCTTAAGCTTAGAGTTGTGTATCATTTTTCTTACATGGTTTTAATCTCATTCTCCATAATATCCTCTTTCTTATGAATGTTACATAATTGCATTTTCTCAAGTAAGCTTATCAGAGGCTTGTCTCTCTTGAGGGATCTCAAACTTAAATGCCTACATTGCCAGGCAACTAAGCATTTGATTTTGAGACCCTCAAAAAGTTCCCGTGCTCCTTCTGAAGGCCTATCCCTATACCTACCTACCCCTGGATACCACCCCTACCCACCTTCTCAGGAGCCTCATGTGATTACATAGCCCCTTCCCCTTGTTGTACCTCCAACCTTTCTCTTTGTCTATTGAATTCTTCCACTAGCATTTAAACATGCCCTAATCTCTAGATTTCCCCTGTTTTTCCAGCTACTCCCTAATCTCCCTTCTAGTTCCTTCTACTTCATGACTGTATTAGTTATCTATTGCTCCATAACAAATTACCTCAAAATTCAGCACTTTAAAGCAACAAATACTGAGGATCTCTCTAGGAATCCAGGAGTGGCTTAGCTGAATAGGTCTGGCTCAGGGCATCTCACTATGTCAGCTGAGGCTAGAGTCATATGAAGGCTTGCCATGGTGGGAGGTCAGAGGGCTCAGTTCCTCCCCACATGGACCTCTCCAAAGAGCTACTCATGACATGGTGACTTCATTCCTCCAGAAAAAGTAATCCAAGAGAAAGAACCACCAAGACAGAGCTACAGCGTCTTTACAACCTAATCTCAAAAGTGATAGACTATTGCTTCTGCCATATGCTATTAGTCACACAGACCTACCCTAATCCAATGTGAATACCTGCAAGTGGGGACCTTGGGAGCCATCTTGGAGGGTGGGCACATTTTAAAAATTATTTTTCCCTGGTGCTAGGTTTTTCTTCAGGTCAAGAAAAGTTTCTTCTATTTTACCCCCTGATTTCTCTGAATGTTGCATCCCATCGCTATCACCATTTATCTGATGTTGGGCCTCCTTCCTCTCTTCTCAATGTTTACTACTTTTTCCTGTCTTGCATTTCATCCTGTACCTTTCTCGCTCTATTCTGGGAAGCTTTCTCAAGTTTTCTCTCCACATCACTAATCTAATTTTAAATAGGTTTTATTCAGCTTCATTATTTTTTGAAGATTTAAATTCTATAACAAAACTCTGCCTATTTTTTAACCCCCATTTAAGATAGCTCATCAGCCACCTACCTTGTCACTTCTGCTGTATTATCATTCACCATTAGTCTCATTTCAAGATCATATCTTAAGAATATTGAGAACACTTCACAGGCATTTTCTAAAACTTACTCCTTCTTTTAAAAAAATTTTTTAATATCAATAGCTTTAGGGGTATAAGTGGTTTTGGTTACAAGGATGAATTGTATATAACAGTGAAGTCTAGAATTTTAGTGCGCTTGTCATCCGAGTAGTGTACAGTGTACCCAATAGGTAGTTTTTCATCCCTCACCCCCTTGACCCTCCCCACTTCTGAGTCTCCATTATCCATTATACTATTCTGCATGCCTTTGCATACCCATAGCTTAGCTTCCACTTATAAGTGAGAACATGCAGTATTTGGTTTTTGATTCCTGAGTTACTTCATTTAGAATAATGGCTTCCAGTTCCATCCAAGTTGCTGCAAAAGACATTATTTTCTTCCTTTTTAAGGCTGAATTGTATTCCATGGTGCATATATATACACACACACAAATATATATATAACATTTTCTTTATCCACTCATCAGTTGATGGGCACTTAGATTGATTCCATATCTTTACAATTGTGAATTGTGCTGCCATAAACACATATGCAGATATCTTTTTGACATAAGGACTTATTTTCCTTGGGTAGATACCCAGTGGTGGGATGGCTGGATCAAATGGTAGATCTACTTTTAGTTGTTTGAGAAATATCTGTACTGTTTTCCACAGAGGTTGTATTCATCTGCATTCCCACCAGCAGCGTATAAGTTTTCTTTTTTCCCTACATCCACACCAACATCTTTTTTTTTTTTAACTTTTTAATAATGACCATTCTGGCTGGGATAAGGTAGTATCTCATCGTGGTTTTAATTTGCATTTCCAACATGATTAGTGATGTGGGGCATTTTTTCTTACATTTTTTGGCCATTTTTATATTTTCTTTTGAGAAATATCTATTCATGTCCTTTGCCCACCTTTTAATGGGATTATCTGGTGAGGTTTTTGCTGATTTGTTTGATTCCTTGTAGGCTTCGGATATTGGTCCTTTGTCAGATGCATAATTTGCAAATGTTGTCTCTCATTCTATAGGTTGTCTGTTTACTCTGATGATTATTTCTTTTGCTGTGCAGAAGCTTTTTAGTTTAATTAGGTCCCATTTATTTATTTTTGTTTTTGTTGTATTTGCTTTTGGGGTCTTAGCCATAAATTCTTTACCTAGGCTAATCTCCTTCTTGAATAAATTTTTTTTCCAAATAATTCTCCCCTTCTATATCTCAATTCTCCATCTCTTAACTATAAATTATTTTCTTAGCTGTCATATTAGTATTTTCTTTTTACTAATTTTTGAACAAAGAAAAGTCAATCCAATCCAGGTGTTTAGGATGTGGATAAGTAAAACGTTTTTCCTCACTGTGAGCCTCTCTGTTATTAGTATCTTCCTCTTACTTCTTAGGCTGGAGGGCCAGTTGATATAAACTTGCAATTCTAGTTGTACAATCCAACAACCTGCCAAGGGAGAAGAGGGAAGAAGATTCATGCACTCCCCTGCAAGGGAGCTTTATTTTTGCTCTTCTCTGTTGGGCAAAACCACTATCCCATGAATTAACTCTGTTTCTAACTTACTGTGTAGCTGTGTAGTGAAGAGTTTGGTCCTGCCCCAATTGACGTCTGGCCTTTGCCTTAGGCTTCTAGGAGGTAAGCTATGCCATATCTAATAGGAGTGCCTTTGTTTAAGGATGGGGCTGGCCGCACTGGGTTAAAGGCTTAGGATAGAAGCTGGCCATGACAGAAAGCCTAATCATGTGACTTAGGATGGGGGCTTTGGAGCATGAAGTATCAATTGACCTGAAGACTAAGTTCAACAACAAGGCAATCAATTGATCAATCATGAGCACATAACAAAGCCCCAAATAAGAATTCTAGATACCGAAACTTTGGTGAGCGTCTCTGATTAGCAATACTTTGTGAGTATTGTCACATATCAATACCAGAAGGGTGACATGTCCTGATTCCATGGGGAAGGAACAGAAGCCTCACGTTTGGAGCACTCCCAGACTCTGCCCTATGTATCTCTTCCTTTGGCTGATTTTATTATTTTATTAGTTACTTAGTTTAGTTAATTAGTTGAACAGCCTCCCTCTGTCACCCAAGCTGGAGTGCAGTAGCACAATCACAGCTCACTGTAGCCTCAAATTCCTGGGCTCAAGTGATCCTCCTGCCTCAGCCTCCCAAAACAATGGGATTACAGGTAACAGTCACTGTACCTAGTCTTTTGGCTGATTTTAATCTGTATCGTTTCCCTTAATAAACCATAACAGTGAGTATAATAGCTTTCAGTGAGTCCTATGAGGTTTCTAGTGAATTATCAAAACTAAAAGCGTTTTGGGGGAGCCCTCAAACTTATAGTTGGCATCAGAACAGAGGGTGTTCTTGTGTGGAAACTGTGTCCTCAAAGTTTGCAGTTTGGCTAATGCCAGGTACTGAACTATGCCAAGGTCCAGCCAAGACCATACACTACCTCTTACCTAAGGCTGCTGTTTTATGTTGGCTGAAGCCAACCCTGTAAATGCTGGGCAAAAGGCAGTCCAAGTATTGAAAGTCTCCCACGTGTCCCTAGCTCCCTTACCTCTGTACCTCATCACTTAAGTTAGAGGGTCCCATCTGGGTCCCATCTACTTACTGAGAGAGAGAGAGACCAGAAAGCCTACTGTCAACCTCTTCTTCAGTGTTGTCCTGTATATGCCACATTCAGTACACACTCCTTGAAATCCCTGACATGGATTATTTTTCTCCACTTATCATATTCAGTTGGTCTTTTTTTTTTTTTTTTTTTTTTTTTTTTGAGACGAAGTCTCATTCTATTGCCCAGGCTGGAGTGCAATGGCACAATCTTGGCTTGCTGCAACCTCCGCCTCGTGGGTTCAAGCGATTCTCCTGCCTCAGCCTCCCAAGTAGCTGGGATTACAGGTGCGCTCCCACGCCCAGCTAATTTTTGTATTTTTAGTAGAGATGGGGTTTTGCCATGTTGGCTAGGCTGTTCTTGAACTCCTGACCTCGGGTGATGATCCACCAGCCTCAGCCTCCCAAAGTGCTGGGATTATAGGCGTGAGCCCCCGTGCCAGTGGTGAGTTGGTCATTTTAAGAGATACCGTGGATTGTGAGGTGGTGAGAAGGGAGTCAGTTGGTGGAGTGAGTTATATTGCTCTCTTAACAGGAAAAGATGAAATAGACCTAAAACAAGATTTGAGCTAACTTAACATGTAATATTTTGTTGGGGAGGGAAACCATTGGAAAAGTACGTATTTATTTTAATCTTTACCCCATCTATCTCTCCTTGCCATACCTGCATGATATGGTTTGAGTATATCCCTCAAAAAGTTCATGTGTTGGGACCTTAATTCCTAAATGTAGCAGTGTTGGGAGGGGGTGCCTAATGGGAAGTGTTTGGGTCATGGGGCTCCAGCCTCATGAAGGGATTAATGCAGTTCTTTATGTGTGTGTGTGTGTGTGTGTGTGTGTGTGTGTGTGTGTGTGTATATATATATATATATATATTTGTTTTATTTATATATATATTTATATTTATATATTTATATTATATATATTATATATATTTATATATTTATATTATATATATTATATATATATTTATGTATATATATATTTGTTTTATTATACTTTAAGTTCTAGGGTACATGTGCACAACGTGCAGGTTTGTTACATACGTATACATGTGCCATGTTGGTGTGCTGCACCCATTAACTCGTCATTAGGTATATCTCCTAATGCTATCCCTCCCCGCTCCCCCTACCTCACAACAGGCCCCAGTGTGTGATGTTCCCCTTCCTGTGTCCAAGTGTTCTCATTGTTCAATTCCCAGTGCAGTTCTTAAGAAACTGGGTTAGTTCTCCAGAGAGTAGGTTGTTATAAAGTGGGTCAGCCCACTTCATTTCTCTTCTTCTCACAGGCACTGGCTTCACCTTCCACTTTTCCACCATGCTGTGACACACCATGAGGTTCTCACCATATGTGGCCATCTGATCTTGGACTTCCTAGCCTCCAGAATTGTAAACGAAATAAATCTCTCTTCTTTATAAATTACGCAGTCTTGAGTATTCTGTTCTAGAAGCAGAAAACCAACTAAGACAGTGCCCTCCACCTTCATTGAAATATTAAGTAAGCCACTGCCAGTCTTGTTTCTTGCCTTTATAAAGTTCTAGCTTTAATTGTGAGCTCACCATAGATACCAGAGTTATGAACAATAGAAAATATCATATCCATGACAACCAGGAAGCCCAAGGCAGTGGCTGATTTCAACCATCTGGTTCTAACCTCCTTCTTTATGTATCTCTTTTCCTCGTGGGCTTCCCTTACTTACATAAAGGGCAGGCACTGCTACACAGACAGGCAGGAAAATGTCCACAGTGTCTGCTGGAGGAGGTGATCCAAGTATCTGCATATGGTAGATACCATGTGAACAATTGAGAAGAGAGGAAACAACTACTGCTAAAGATATTAGAAAGGCTTCCTGGTTTCCTCATTTGAGCTCAGCCTTCAGGATGGCAAGTGAGTTTTGCTGGAGGAGGTCATACAAGTAAGCATTCTAGGAAGAACATTACCAGCATGCAAAAGGTGCAGAGAAGGGAAAAAGGAAAACGATGCTCATAAAATGATGATGGACTCACAGTGGATTTGTTTAGGGGAGTAGGGAGATAAGAACAAAAAATGGCTTAGCAACACATTGTGGAAATTTTTGAATGGTCAGCTGAAGATACTAGACTCTTTTCAGAATCTTTTGCTTTTTAGTATAGTACTTGGAATACTTTGTCTCCTTGAATTGCATGCTTACCTCTCCTGAATGGCACAGATGGTCTTTTTTTGTGCTACATCATTTAACACAGTGCCTTGCCTAGTGATGGTCCCAAAACAGTTGTTGATTTCTATTGAAAGTGCTGACTAGGTAATAAGAAGTCATTACTACCTAACTATATAAAAGAAACCAGAACCTACAACAGTTCCTATTGCCTTTTCACCATCCCTCCTTTCTCTACTTTTCAGGCTTAAATTTTATGATTCACGTGTATAATCACTCACTTAACACACACCCTCAACTCTCTGGTCCTCACTCACCTGGCTAAACCCCAACCCTGGTTTAATGCAACTCTAACCTGCTGATTAACATTTCATTGCTTACATGAGAGGAGGCAGAAGACAGAGCCTTTGCCTAAAAAAATAGGTTAGGGCTTGGGCACTAACTCGTTCACCACCCACTGGGGTTCAACCTGAGGAGCAGACACACAGATTTCTCTAGTCTTACGGTAAAGAGTTATTCATCCATTCAAGCACCTTTAAAAAAAACACACAAACAAGCTCCTAGACGTAAAGAGCTGCTAAGTCATCATACCTATGTATACCAGAAAAAGCTGGACAAATTGAAGATAATAGACTCTTCTTGGAACCATCAGAGACTGAGGTCACAGGGCAAACCACTACCCTGAGCTCTGGAGAGACAGATGCATCCACAGAGCTATTGCTCCTGAGATCTACTTACCTAGAATAAAAGCCATTAGAATCAGTAAGCTGGTGGGAACACTTAAATTATTACTTTGCTGAATTGCAGGAGGCTGAGTGCAGACTTGTATGAGAGTGAGAAACTCTGGTGAGGGCCTGCAGCCATAAGAGGGGCTTGACACTTACATGGACTGTCACTCCAGAAGCCCCACTAGGTTCCCATGGGGATAATCTGAGAAAGAGCCCCTTCGGGTCAAGATGGGAGAAGAGAAGAGTAGGCATCTGAAAACCTGCCCAGACTATCATTCCTAGCAAAGGCTTAGTCCCCAGGTAGAAAGAACACCTGGCCTGCAGAGGAATAGGATTACAGTGAACTTCTCATCAGAAACCATGCAAGCAAGAAGAAAGTGCAGCAAAACCCTTAAAGTGTTAAAAGAAATTGCCAATCTAAAATTTTATATCCAGAGAAATTATCCTTCAGAAAAGGAGGAGAAATAAACACTTTCTCAGACAAAAACTGAGGGAATTCATTATCAGCATGGAATGTTAAAGTTCTTCAGGCAGAAAGAAAATTATTTAGGTCAGAAACCTTGATCTACGTAAAGAAAGGAACACCATCAAAGGCTAAACAAAGATAATACACAATTGTTTAAAATTCTTAATTGTTCTAAAAGAAAACTTGAAAATGGTAATTAACAGTGTATTGTATGCTTGGACTTCCCAGCCTCCAGAACTGCAAGCTATTAGATATTTAAAAATATCTAATATGGATAAGTGAAATAAATGATAGTAATGTCACAAGGGATGGGAAAAAGAGGTTGGGAATGCTGTATTATGAGGTACCTATACTAGATATGAAGTGGTATAGTATTATTTGAATGCGGGCTTAGGTTATTTTTAAGTGCAGATTGTAAAAACTCTAAAACAACCACTAAAAAGGTTTTAATAGTATAAATGATACTCCAGGATAAAAGATAAAACGGAATCATATAACATAATTAAAACAAGAGAATGCAGAAGGAAGGAGTGAAAAGAAACAAAAAACAAATGAAAACAAAAATAGTTATGAAGATGGTGAAGATGGTAGTTTTTCATTCAACTATATCCATAATCACTTTAAATATGATGTAAATACTCCAGTTAAAAGACAGAGATAATCAAGTTGAATGAAATTTAAAAAAGAAAAAAGCAAGACCTAACCATATTATAGAAACCACTTTAGATATAGAGGCCCAGGTAGAAAGTGAGGAAATGTACTGCTAACATAAGGATAAATACATAGGTCAATGGAATAGAATTGAGAGTCCAGAAATAAACCCTCATATTTATGGTCAATCGGTTTTCAAAAAGAGCGTAAGACAATTCAGTGGGGAAAATTGGCTTTTTAATAAGTGGTACGTACTTGGGCAACTGGATATACACATGCTAAAGAATGATTTGGACCCCTACTTCAAATTATACACACACAAAAAAACTGAAAATGGATCATAGACCTAACTTCAAGAGCTAAATTGCATAAAATTTCTAGAAGAACATACTGGAGAAATCTTTGTGACATCAGGTTAGGCATTGGTTGTCTGGATACAACACAAAATACGCACACACAGAAAAAATAGGTAAGTTGACTGCATCAAAATGTAAAACTTTTGTGCTTTAAAGGACATCATCAAAAAAGTAAAAAGACAACCCACAGAGTGTGAGAAAATATTTGAAAATCATATATCTGATAAGGGGCTGGTATTCAGAATATATAAATAAATCTTACAACTCAACAACAAAAAGATAAATAACTCAATCAAAAGTGGGCAAAGCCTTTGAATAGACACTTCTCCAAAGAAGAAATACAAATGGCCGACAAACAAAGGAAAAGACGTTCAACGTCATAAGTCACTAGGGAAATACAGATGAAAACTACAATGATTGCTGTCAGGCCTCTGAGCCCAAGCCAAGCCATCGCATCCCCTGTGACCTGCACGTATACATCCAGATGGCCTGAAGTAACTGAAGATCCACAAAAGAAGTAAAAATAGCCTTAACTGATGACATTCCACCATTGTGATTTGTTTCTGCCCCACCCTAACTGATCAATGTACTTTGTAATCTCCCCCACCCTTAAGAAGGTTCTTTGTAGTTCTCCTCACCCTTGAGAATGTACTTTGTGAGATCCACCCCTGCCGGCAAAACGTTGCTCTTAACTTCACCGCCTATCCCAAAACCTATAAGAACTAATGACAATCCACCACCCTTCGCTGACTCTTTTTTCGGACTCAGCCCGCCTGCACCCAGGTGAAATAAACAGCCATGTTGCTCACACAAAGCCTGTTTGGCGGTCTCTTCACACGGACGCACATGAAAATTGCCACTTCACATTCACTAAGAGGGCTGAAATTAAAAAGACAGACAATAACAAGTGCTTGTGAGGCCATGGATAAATTAGAATCCTCATACATTGCTGATCCTAATGTAAAATGGTACAATCACTTTGGAAAACAGTCCTGCAGTTCCTCAAAATGTTAAACATGGAGTCATCATATGATCCAGCAATCGCACTTTTAAATATAATGAAAGAGAAATAAAAACACATGCCTACACAAAAACTTGTACATGAATATTCATAACAGCATTATTAATATTAGCCAAAAAGTGAAAACATGTCCATGAGCTGGTGAAGAAATAAGATGTGGGTATCCACACAATGGAATATTATCCAGCAATAATAAAGAACGAAGTGGGCCAGGCACAGTGGTTCATGCCTGTAATCACAGCACTTTGGGAGGCCGACGGGGGCAGATTGGTTGAGCCCAGGAGTTTGAGACCAGCTGGGCAATATGGCGAAACCTTGTCTCTACAAAAATACACAGGTTAGCTGGGCATGGTGACGCATGCCTGTGGTCCCAGCTACTCAGGAGGCTGAGGCTGGAGGGTCACCTGAGCCTGAGAGGCAGAGGCTGCAGTGAGCCCAGATCATGCCACTGCACTCCAAGCTAGGCGACAGAACAAGATCCTGTCTCAAAAAAAAAAAAAGTGCTGAGACATACCAACCGTGGATGAACCTTGACTTATTATGCTAAGTGAAAGAAGCTAGTGTCAACGAAGAGTCAAACTCTGTAAAATATTTGAAGGAATTTATTCTGAGCCAAATATGAGTGACCGTGGTCTGTGACAAAGCCCTCAGGAGGTCCTGAGCACATGTGCACAAGGTGGTTGGGGTGCAGATTTGTTTTATACATTTTAGGGAGGCATGAGACATCAATCAAATACATTTAAGAAATACATTGGTTTGGTCCAGAAAGGTGAGACAACTCAGGGGGACTGGGGAGGGAGGGAGGGAGGGCGGGGGAGGGGGTTGCTTCCAGCTGAAAGTTTCTCTCCCGGGCCTGCAAGCTTAAGGGAATGAATAACTCCTCCTTCCTCAGGCCCAGTCCCAAGGTGCAAGGCCACCTGCACCAGCAACCTGCATCGGTGAGATAGCAGAGGCAGGAAGAGAGCTGGCCGGAAGACACGTACTCCCTGAAGACCGAGAGAGGCCACCGGGGTACCGCGTAGCCGTTACATCAGACTGAGACACTTCCTGTTTACAGGAGACTATAAAACCCCTGCCCCGTCCTCATCTGGTGCTGACACCATTTTAGGTCTCAGCCCACCTGCACCCAGGTGCTCATTGAAACAACGTGTTGCTCCAAACCACCTTGTGGTGTTTGTCGGCGCGCTCTCGGGTTTGGAACCAATACAAGAGCCTTGCACCTGCAGGCTGTAGGTAATATAGGTAAATTTATACATTTTCTGGTTGACAATTGGTTGAGTTTAAGACCTGGGATCTCTAGAAAGGAAAATGTTCAGGTTAGATAACAGACTGTGGAGATCAAGTTTCTTTTTTGTTGTTGTTGTTTTTTTTTTTTTGAGACGGAGTCTCGCTCTGTCGCCCAGGCTGGAGTGCAGTGGCCCGATCTCGGCTCACTGCAAGCTCCGCCTTCCGGGTTCACGCCATTCTCCTGCCTCAGCCTCCCGAGTAGCTGGGACTACAGGCGCCCACCACCAGGCCCAGCTAATTTTTTGTATCAGATAATTTTTTGTATTTTTAGTAGAGACGGGGTTTCACCATGGTCTTGATCTCCTGACCTCTTGATCCGCCCACCTCCCAAAGTGCTGGGATTAAAGGCGTGAGCTACCGCGCCTGGCCCAAGTTTCTTTTGAAGTCTTATAGTGACTACCCTTGGAGACAATAGATGAGAAATGTTTCCTATTCAGATCTTTAAAAGGCACTAGACTCTTAATTAATCTCTTTGGGATTGGGAGGGCCTGGAAGAAAAAGATCTAGCTATGCAAATAGAGATTCTTTACAGGTGCACATTTTCCCCCACAAAGGACAGCTTTGCAGGGCCGTTTCCAGAAACATGTTTTGGGATAAAATATTTTTATTTTCTTTCTTGCCTCATAATGTTTTCCAACTTGCCAGAGTCAGGTTGGAAAGTAAGTCACGATATATAGGGCTAAATAAAACCCATCTGATGAAAATTTATGGTTTGTAGGGCATGACTCCCCAGACCCCTTAGATAGGAATTTGGGCAAGATAAAAAATCAAAGCTTAGTCCTCACCAGTCACAAAAGACTACACACTGGATGATTTGATTTATATTAAATGTCTATAAAAGGCAAATCCACAGAGACAGAAGGCAGGTTAGCGGTTGCCTGGGGATGGGGTGGAGCAAGGGATAGCATGAATAAGGAATGGCTGCTCATGTGCAAGGGGTTTCTTCCTGGCGTGGTCAAGAGTTCTCAAATTAAATGTGGTGATTGCTTCACAACTCCATGAATATACTAAAACCACTGAGACAGACACTGTAAAGGGGTAAATCTTACAGTGCATGAAATATACCTCAGTAAAACTATGTTTAAAAGTGAGGGGTAACTATATTAATAAAACCATGGGTGTCCAATCTTCTGGCTTCCCTGGGCCACATTGGAAGAAGAAGAATTGCCTTGAGCCACACATAAAATACACTAACACTAACAATAGCTGATGAGCTAAAAGAAAACTACACACGAAAAAAGTTTCATAATGTTTTAAGAAAGTTTATGAATTTGTGTTGAGCCTCATTCAAAGCCATCCTGGGCTGGTCTCAAACTCTTGAGCTCAAGCAATCCTCCAGCCTCGTCCTCCCAAGGTGCTGGGATGACAGGTGTGAGCCACTGCGTCTGGCCACCTGGACTTCTATGGAGTGCAGAAGTCCATGGTAATGACCTGAACTTAGCATTTCATCAGACTTGGTGATGAAGCCAGGAAACAGGACAAGCACTGGGCCCTGACAGACAGCTTCCCATGGTGAGGGCAGAGGAGGAATATACTCAGCAGGACGGTGCATGCTGCAGGGAGCAGTGGCTCCTGTCACTGTGAGACTGTGCTGGGAAAGCCTCTGTAAATCAGCCCCATGGGGCATCACACACCCTGGGAGAGAGATCCATGTCGTAAAACCAAAGGGTTGTATCCCCAAGGCCCAAACCTCACAGTGCTCCAGGAAGGCTGGCTAGTACAACCAAAATAATGGAATCATTAGAGGCCCAGGTGGCTCTGATGGGAGCCCAACTTTGGTGACAAAAAGAAAATAACATTTTAAAAAATATTTATAAATGTAGTGCATTTTTGTTACATGAATATGTTGCATAGCGATGAAGCCTGGACTTTTAGTGTAACCATCACCCGAATAATGTAAATGGTATCCAACAGGTACTTTTTCATCCCTCAACCCCCTTCCACCCTCCCACCTTGTGGAGTCTCCAGTGTCTATTATTCCACTCTGTATGTCCATGTGTACACATTGTTTAGCTCCCACTTATAAGTGAGAATGTGGTATTTGACTCTCTGTTTCTGAATTATTTTAGGTAGGATCATGGCCTCCAGTTCCATCCATATTGGTGCAAAAGACATTCTTTCTTTCTTTTTTATGGTTGAGTAGTATTCCATGGTGTATGTATACCACATTTTCTTTACCCCATCATCTGCTGATGGACACTTAGGTTAATTCCATGACTTTGTTATTGTAAATAATGCTGCAATAAACGTACGAGTGCAGGTATCTTTGTCATATAACGATTCATTTCCCTTTGGGTAGATACCCAGTAGTGGGAGTGCTAGGTCAAATGGTAGCTCTAGTTTTAGTTCTTTCAGAAATCTCCATACTGTTTTCCATGGAGGTTGTACCAATTTACATTCCCACCAATAGCGTATGTGTTCCCTTTTCTCTGCATCCTCACCAACATCTGTTGCCTTTTGACTTTTTAATAATACATTGACCTAGGGAAAGAATTTATGACAAAGACCTCAAAAGCCATGCAACAGACAGGGTGCAGTAGCTCATGCCTGTATTCCCAGCACTTTGGGAGGCAGAGGCGGGTGGATCGCTTAAGGCCAGGAGTTCGAGACCAGCCTGGTCAATGTGGTGAAATCTTGTCTCTACTAAAAATACAAAAATTAGCCGGGCGTGGTGGCACACATCTGTAGTCCCAGCTACTCAGGAGGCTGAGGCACTGAGGTGAAATTTTTCCCTTGACCCCCTTCATGGGCAGGAACTGGAGTCGCTCATCTCATTCACCCTGCAGTTCATGGATGGCTAAGTGTTAACAACTTGGTGAAGGGTCAGGGTGACAGCCTCCTGCACCTGCCCTTTTTGACACCCAAGTTCTTGTTTGGTGTCCAGGAAGAATCAGGTCATATGAACTATTTGAAGGGTAGTATGTGAAGGATTTTACTGGGCAGTAAAAGTGGCTCTCAGCAGGACAGGGAATTGGAAGGGAGATGGTGCGGGAAGGTGATCTTTCCCTGAAGCCACACCATCTGAAGTTAACTATGTCTATCCGTAGTCGCCGACGCTCAGCCGCATGTATCCCTGATACTCAGCAGCTTGCAGCCCTGACCACTTGCATCAGCCGCTTGTGTTGTTCTTTCAGCTGAAGTCTTTTTATGGGCACAGCATAGGGGCGTGGCAGGCCAAAAAGGCAATCATTTGGGCAGAAAAATGGGGTCAGCTGTTTTCACGCAGGGCCGAGGTTCCAGGCTTGAGGGTGGAGTTTAGCTGGGAACCCAGACCTGCAGGGTCAGCTGCTTTCACTTAGGGCCAAGGTTCCAGGCTTGAGGGTAGGGTTTAGCTGGAACCCAGCCATTCTGTATCAGCAGGAGAATCACTTGAACCTAGGAGGTGGAGGTTGCAGTAAGCCAAGATGAAGCCACTGCACTCCAGCCTGGGCAACAGAACAAGACTCTTTCTCAAAAAAGAGCTCCTCCTGGAGGGAGGAGCTGTGGTGCTGGAACTCTGGAAACAACTCTTTCTGTGTGTATTAGCATCTGTGCATCAGGGCTGGTCCCAGCAGATCCGTCCTGTGACTCTCTTTCCCCTGTGGCCTCCCCTCCCTAGGAGGGAGATGGGGTTCCCAGCTGGCTCCTGGGCCCTCGTGTTGGCCTGTCCTGCCACGCTATCCTAACTGGTCAGGCCCATGGTTTGAGTTCAAGCAGCAATCCCAGACACATGCTCCCAGGGTTCTTGGATGTCACTAACAACCCTCACTTCTTTTACATCATTCAATTGGGCTGCATTCACAGACTGTTTCTCAATTTCTCCTCTAAACAGGTATGAGTTTCTTATAATCCCATTTCCAGGATGAGGGAGGCTGTCCTTTGGGCACTGATGTGGAGGATAAACTTGCAAAGCTCTCCCAGATAAAGAGAAAAATGATAAAGTGATGAAAAATGAGAGAGAAGATGATAGATATAAAAGTATAGAAACCAGAGATCAACCCAAGAACAGAGGGTGTTCCTGAGTAAGAAGCAACAACCATTAGACTAGAACAAATAATCAAAGGCATAATTAAGAAAAACCGAAACTGCCATTGCAAAATTATAACTGAAACAGTGACAGAGTTCTGAGCTAACCCACTCCATCTTGCTTCTAACCTCCAAGCTGCCCTTGTTCATTCCTGGGTGTAGGCTGAGCTAACTTTAGGAGGAATTTAGTTTATAGTTTATTGTTTGAAACAAAGATAGCATCCCTTTCAAAACAAACCCCCTTCTTGCCTGGGGACTAGACTGCCTTTGTATTATAGGACTAACAAATTAGTCAAAAAATTAGAAATTATGGTTTAAGAGTCATGCAGCTGGAGACAGATTCTGACCCTCCCCAAATTGCTCCTGGGGATAATATCACTATTGTAAAACCTAAGATCAGTGCTTAGGATATTTCGCAGTTCCTGCATTTGGTGAATCAGCTGGCACCACCCAGATTGGTAACTGGCTCGTCTGATCTTGTGGTCCCCACTCAGGAACTGACTCAGCGCAAGAAGACATCTTCGACTTCCTATGATTTTATCTCTGACCCAACCAATGAGCACTCCTAACTCATTGCCCCCCACCACCAAATTATCCTTAAAAACTCTGACCCCAGAATACTTGAGGAGACTGATTTGAGAAATGATAAAACTCGGGTCTCCCGTACAGCCAGTTCTGCGTGAATTACTCTTTCTCTATTGCAATTCCCCTATCTTGATGAATCATCTCTGTCTAGGCAGTGGGCAAGGTGAACCCTATTGGGCAGTTACAAAACTGTCCCAAGAATGAAAAGATTAAATCTGAATATTTAAATTCAAAGAACTCTTTACATTGCAGGAAACATCTGTGAAAAGAAGAGCTCTGTACCCAGGACATCCTGGCAGAATTCGATTTACTTTATTAAAAAGAAAATTAACTTTTCCATTATGAAAAGAATAAAGAATATACAAATATATTCTAAGAAAATACAGATTAGCAAAAGGAAGGAATAAAAATCATCCATTGCACTACCACCCAGAAAAATACTCTGTTAATGTTTTGGCACATCTCTTTTAGTCCTATTAATATACATATTATTTTTTACATAATTGCAATTTACACAATATCAAAAATTTAAATTTTCTATCATTTAAAAACACTTTTAAAATTATAAAATTAATACATGCTAATGAAAAGGTTTAAAATTGGAGGGAAAATACGAAGAAAAAGGTTGCCCAGAATCCACTTACCCAGAATTAACCACAGTTAATACTGGGGTGCATTTCTTCATAGCCTTATCTGCACTTTTGTACATAATCTAATCTAATTCTTTTTTTTTTTTTTTTTTTTTTTTGAGACAGAGTTTCACTCTTGTTGCATAGGCTGGAGTGCAGTTGCACAATCTCGGCTCACTGCAACCTCTGCCTCCCTGGTTCAAGCAATTCTCCTGCCTCAGCCTGCCCACTAGCTGGGATTACAGGCGTGCGCCAGCACGCCTGGCTAATTTTTGTATTTTTAGTAGAGACAGGGTTTTACCATGTTGGCCAGGCTGGTCTCGAACTCCTGACCTCAGGTGATCCACTGCCTCGGCCTCCCAAAGTGCTGGTATTACAGGCGTGGGCCAGCGCGCCCGGCTAATCTAATCTAATTCTTAAACATTGTTAATATGGAGCATTTCAGAGACTCCAGACAGTAAATGATGTAAAGGCTTATGGAGGGGATAAAAGGTTAGCCACAAGGTGATTTAATAGTCTTTCATTTTAAATAAAGCCTAAATACTCAAGATAATTCAAAATGAGTTTCAAACATGCAAAAACCCATACAAAACATGTAGTAACTCTTCTATTAATACCTGAGGTTTAAGTGGCTTAGCCACGATAAGCAGCATTGGAACGTGACAGCACACACTTGTTTAAGTTCCGTGAAGTAGTGAGGCTTTCATGACAAGCCTGTTTTCTGGTTCTAGGAGAGCCATACAAGTAGGAAAGGAGGAAGCAGAAGGGCCAGGCCTCATTACTACCACAGACCCCACATCATCCCATTAGAATTTGGACTTTGGGGCCCAAGCTGAATAAATTCTTTTGTACTGCAACAGTTTCATGGGGGAAGAGAGGCAAGAGCTGTGCTCAAAGGGAAACACATCGCCTTAAATGCTCTCATTGTGACATGAGGAGAAATGGAAAAATTAACCCAGCACTCAACACAGTAACATAAAGAAGACTGAAAGAAGAATGTAATAAAAATAACAACTAAGTGTGAGGGAGAAAATGAAAAATCTGTAAATTGATCAATCCACCCAAGAGCCAGTTTCTGGGCTGTGGGTCAATTCACCAGAAAACAATTTGCTGACAGTCAAATGCTCCCTCTCCCTCTGCCTTTGCACACTAGGGCCATCTTCTCATTGTGTCCTCACATGGCCTTTCCTGGGTGCACACATGTGGAAAGAGAGTCCTCTGTCTTCCTGCTCTTTTTTTTTTTTTTGAGATGGAGTTTCCCTCTTGTTGCCCAGGCTGGAGTGCAGTGGCGCCATCTCAGCTCACTGCGACCTCCGCCTCCTGGGTTCAAGCGATTCTCCAGCCTCAGCCTCCCGAGTAGCTGGGATTACAGGCACCTGCCACCACACTCGACCAATTTTTGTATTTTTAGTAGAGACGGGCTTTCGCCCTCTTGGCCAGGCTGGTCTCGAATTCCTGAGCTCGTGATCTGCCCACCTCAGCCTCCCAAAGTGCTGTGATTACAGCCATAAGCCACCACACCCGGCCTGTCTTCCTCTTCTTACAAGGGCACTAGTCCCATCAGGGGTTCTAGTTACTTCCCAAAGTCCCCACCTCCAAATACCATCATATTGGGGGTTAGGGCCTCAACATATGAAGGGGCGGCAGTCAGGGGCAGTGGAGGGAGAACACAAACATTCAGTCCATAGAAGATACAATTCTAAAAGACTGAATTTATCATCTGATGAATTGACTGGGCCTGCATGGGTACATTTTTAAAATAAGCTAGGAAGGGGGAAAGCCTTCTTAAGCATGAACATGAAACCTGGAAGCCACAAAGGACATGATAAATGAATGTGACTAACAATATTAAATTTATTAATTTTTTTTTATTTGAGACAGTCTCACTCTGTCACCCAGGCTGGTGTGTAGTGGCACAATCTTGGCTCACTGCAACCTCTCCCTCTGGGGTTCAAGCGATTATCCCGCCTCAGCCTCCTGAGTAGCTGGTACTATGGGCATGTACCACCACACCTTCCTAATTTTTTAAATTTTTAGTAGAGAGGGGTTTTGCCATGTTGCCCAGGCTGGTCTGAAACTCCTGACCTCAAGTGACTGCCCACCTCGGCCTCCCAAAGTGCTGGGATTTATAGGCATAAGCGCCTGGCCACAATTTTACATTTCTACACTGTAAAGGTATGTTTGTGCTTGTGTGTGTGTGTGTGTGTGTGTGTGTGTGTGTGTGTGTGTGTCTTAAATGAAATCAAAAGAAAATATCTGTAATGAAAAAGACCAAAATTAATTTCCCACTTATCAAAAAGTTTGCATAAATCAGTAGTGAGAAAAACCACCTTATTAAAAAAATTAGAGAAGTATGTGAACAGACTTATTACAGGGCAAAAAATACAAATGATCAATACACATGAAAAGATGTCCAACCTTCCAATAACATAAATTTGAATCACTAAATATAACTTTTTAATGTATCCAAGTACCAAAATGTAAAAGATTGATAATAAGTTATGTTGGCAACAGCGTGGAGAACACATGTGTTCTGATACCAGGAATGCAAATGGGTGTCCTTTTTTGTTGAGAAATCTGGCAATATCTATGAAAATTTTAAGCATGCCCACTTATGGAATGTGTCTTACAGAAATCACTTGCACAAGGAGGCAAAGATAATGTACAAAGATATTGTATATAGAAGCATAAATTCTTGGTGTTGGAAAGGAACCTGTGGGGTACCCAGTCCAAGCTTTGAGGTCCACTCCAGTGCCAGGATGCCCTGGGCTACATCCCTGACTCTCTCTGCCTGGGTGTCCCTTAGATCTTATATGGTTGGTGACTGTATAATCTAGTAACATATAGGCCTTTCAAACCATGAGCAGAATATCTTCAGGAACTTGTGTGAGCATCAGACACCTACTCTCCTCCGAGTGCCCAATGGTCCTTCACTGGGAGCACTTAAGGCAGCGTTTCTCAAACTTCAATGTACAAACAAATTATCTGAGGCTCTTGCCAAAATGCAAATACTGATTTGGTCTGGGATGGGCCTGAGATTCTGCCTTTCTAACCAGCTCCCAGGTTAGATGATGCGGATGCTGCTGGTCCAGGGACCACAGTCTGAGTAGCAAGGTCATGAGACGTACTCTATTTTCTACCTTTGGTCTTCTTGTTTTCACACCTGGGTTTTCCATCAAGTATGTAGGCATCAGTCCCGTGACTCTCATGTCCTACAGATAGGCCCCATGACTTGGTCATGCCCTTAGCATTGACCTCGTACACTCATGCTCCACTCCACTATTTTCACCATCTGTTCTCCTGTAGAGCAGGGTAGTAGGTGATGGCTGTGGCCACCACAGACTCCTAACTCAGACACCAGACCGTATGTCCTTCCTGCTCAAGGTCATCCCAGCTGCTCCTCAATATGCCAGGCAGACCGCATCTCTGGCACCAGCACTTGTTGCCCCCTGTGCCCAGAATTCCACTCTCCCAGACATCCACGGAGCTTGACTCTCATTTCCTTCTAGTATCTACTCAAATAGGAGAAAGCAGGGCTAGAGATGCAAATTTGGGTGTCACCAGCAAACAGATATTGTTTAAAACCATGAGACCAGAGGAGATCACTCGGAGAGTATAGACAGAGGCAAATGGGAGCCTTGGCTGAAGTCCTGTGGCAGCACCCACGTACAGGATGAGGAGGAGGAAGAGGGGGAGGCAGCAACAAGAGGAGTGCCAGTGGGAGACAAGGGAACCAGGTATGGGGCACTCAAGAAGCCAAGAGAAGAGCATGGCTGGAGAAGGATGGCGTGATCAGCACTCCTGTGTAAAAGCAGCAGCTTGAACACTCATGAAAATACCGTGGGCGGTGAGCACAGGGAGAATGGGGGAGGAGATGCAGCAAGGGCACTTTGGAGAGGTCACTAAGGTCGCTGATCCCTGGAGTCGAATGCTGGGTTGGCAGTGAGGAAGCCAAAGGCCTGCCCTATTTTTACCATTGAATCCCCAAAAGGCTGATTAATTGGTGACACCTGGCCCCTCTGGACATGAAGATGGAGGAAAAGGCTGAAGTAATGAGAACTGGAAAAAAGCTGTTTAAGGAATTGTCAGATCCCCAGATCTCCCCAACTCTGTTTAGCCAGATCACTGACTTTCTGCCCTCCCCTGCAGAAAGCCAGAGATTCATTTCAAGAGGGTGAATACAGGATCTGGTTAGGAGACACTGAACTCAGTGGAAAGCAAGGAGTCACACTGAGAACAGGAGAACTACATGAGTGTGGGCACTGCGGATGCTGGGGCAGCCCTATCCCATCCCCCAGCCTCATTCCTCATGCGGTTCCCAGAACGCCAGCCACCATCCCAACAGGAAGCAGAGAGGTTTCCAGTCAAAGGGCCCAGACAGTTGAAGCTGCCAAGCCCCACCTGTGCACTCGGAGCATCCAATCAGCTGTGAAGGGCTCACCCTTCCACACGAGCAGATTGCCAGATGGCTGAGGAAGAAAGGTACAGGAAAGATAAATCCCAAACCAATACAAAATAATCAACTGGAAGACACTGGAACTATACAAGGAGAAGAACACTTCAAAAAAAATCATGAGGGCCGGGCGCGGTGGCTCACGCCTGTAATCCCAGCACTTTGGGAGGCCGAGGCGGGCGGATCACGAGGTCAGGAGATCGAGACCATCCTGGCTAACACAGTGAAACCCCGTCTCTACTAAAAAATACAAAAAATTAGCCGGGCGTGGTGGCGGGCGCCTGTAGTCCCAGCTACGCGGGAGGCTGAGGCAGGAGAATGGCGTGAACCCGGGAGGCGGAGCTTGCAGTGAGCCGAGATCGCGCCGCTGCACTCCAGCCTGGGCGACAGAGCGAGACTCCGTCTCAAAAAAAAAAAAAAAAAAAAAAAAAAAAAAAAAAAAAAATCATGAACACTTTTACAGCCAAGAAATACTATCCAGGAAATGAGATAATGGAGCAGTGCCTACTAACTCTGAGTTACATTGTATGACACTTAGTTGATGTCTACCAGAGAATTGGGGTTTTTTTTGGTGGGAAGAAATCCCACATGTCAGTGACCAGAGGTGAAGTATTGTATAGTGAGTGTGAGTAGAAAATTTGTTTAAAGTTTGGGTGCTTTTTAAAAAATATTTCTTACAACTATATTTAGATGGTAGAAGAAAACAAATCCAGAAAGATTGCACAGCAGATGTGATATTTGAATGTGGAGCTGGAAGTATACCAAGGATTTCACCCAGGTGGACAAAGATAGGGAGAATATTCAAAGCAGAGACAACAATTGATACAAAAAAAAAAGATGAAAGGGGCCAGGCGTGGTGGCCTGTAATCCCAGCACTTTGGGAGGCTGAGGTGGGCAGATCACCTGAGGTCAGGAGTTTGAGACCAGCCTGGCCAATGTGGTGAAACTCCATCTCTACTAAAAATACAAAAATTAGCCAGGTGTGGTGGCGGGCACCTGTAGCCCTAGCTACTCCTCAGGAGGCTGAGGCATGAGAATTGTTTGAACCTGGGAGGTGAAGGTTGCAGTTAGCTGAGATTGCGCCACTGCACTCCATCCTGGGCCACAGAGCGAGACTCTGTCTCAAAAAAAAAAGATGAAAGGGTAAGCGTGGTATGAGATAGCACATCAACCCAAAATGGATTGGCATTCAACACCAAATAATTGATTTTCACTCATGCATCCTCAGGTTGCCTGGGATTGGGCCAACATAGACTGAGTTTGGCAGGCTTGGATCTCAATTGCAGGTTGGATCCAGGAGTATTTCATCCTCTTTGGACCAACAGCTGTCTAAGGCAGGCTCTTTTCATGATGGAGGCAGAAGAACAAGAAAACAAGCACATTTCAAGCCTCTGGACCCACCGCGTCCACTAACATGCCATTGGCCAGCATAATTTACATGGACAAGCTCAACACTAATGGGTTGGATAAGTATATTCCTCACTCACAAAAGCTTAAACTTTATTCCTGAACAATAAACTCTAGCCAGGTGGGGTGGGGAGCACCTGTAGTTCCAGCTACTCAGGAAACTGAGGCAGAAGGATTGCTGGACCCCAGGAGTTTGAGACCAGCTGGGCAACACAGTGAGACTATATCTCAATAAAGAAATAAATAAATAAAACAATAATAAAAGCCAACTCTTTAAAGTGTGTTTGGGGAATAACATGAACATATGTAACTTCTGTTTTTCAGTTAACTTTCTGTATGCATTTCCCTTATTTCCATCCTTCCTTCCTTCCTCCCTCTCTCTCCCTCTTTCTCTTTCTCCCTTTCTCTCTTTCTCTTTCTCTCTTTCTCTTTCTCCCCTTCCTTCCTTCTCTTTCTTTCTTTCGTTCTTTCTTTCTTTCTTGAGATGGAGTCTCACTCTGTTGCCCAGGCTGGAGCGCAATGGTGCGATCTTGGCTCACTGCAACTTCCGCCTCTCGGGTTCAAGCAATTCTCCCATCTCAGCCTCCCCAGTAGCTGGGATTACAGGCACTCACCACCATGCCCAGCTAATTTTTGTATTTTTAGTAGAGACTGGGTTTCACCACACTGGCCAGGCTGGTCTTGAATTCCTCCCAAAGTGCTGGGATTACAAGCATGAGCCACCATGTCTGGCCCCCTTGATTCTTTTATGAGATGAGCATGTGCAGCTACAAAAGGAAACACAGGAGAGGCTCAGGAAAAAACAAAGTCTCTTGTACTCACAGGTCCCAGAGACCGGAGGCATGGCAAGCCATGAAGGGCCACATGGGAGAGACACCAGAGTGGTCAGGAAGCAAAAGACAGGAGGAGAAAGCCGAGGCTAGAGCCTTCATTGGGGTTTCAGTGGGAAAAGCAGAACAGGGCAGGGTAAACAGTTTAGGACTGGTTCGTTTGCATAATTTGGTTGATCTTTGGCCTATAGTAGTGATCTCTAGTTGCCTAGTACCTGGCCCTGGGATGATTAAGGCAGAGGAATATTGCTTCCTGAGCTGCATGGGCCAGATAGGGAAGGTCTGGTTTAGGACTGGTTTGTTTTCATATCAAAGGCACGTTCCTGGCTGGGTCCTTCGTTATCTCTAAGAATTGGCTGGCCCAGGGGGGAACAGTCTCTCTCCAGCTAAAAAGGTTTTTCAGGATCAAAGTATACAGACAACTTAAAAAAAAACAAGAGTAAAAGTTATTTGACCAACATCAGCCATGTGTGGCTAATGAACACTTAAAATGTGACAGGTGTGATTGAGGAATTAAATTTTAGTTTTATTTAAATGTTTTAATGTAAATTTAAAGAGCACATGTGGCTTATAGCTATGGAACATGCAGCTGTGAACACTATAGTTAAAACTGACATTTTGATCTGAGGATTCCTTTTATTTAATCAGTTCTGAAACTATAGTTTTCTACATTTATATATTTGTTCTATTGTGAATTTTAGGATTTATTTTGATGATGTACTTTTTCTTTGTGAAGTTTAGAAATGACCATGGGGGTCATGTGGGCCAAATTAACTCAATTCCTGGACAAAAACTATTTCCCCGACCACCCCAAGCTTCTTGCCAATGTGCGCCCTTGGGACAAGAAAGGCTAGGAGAAGCTGTGGACAAATTAAGATAAACCTGGCAATATCATTAGACAAATAACCCAAAGTGAATCCCTCTTCTGATGGTCAACATCAGATGGTCACACAGAAATGTTATTTTCCTATGAGTAATTTTGCATTATTGTTACATATGATTTCCACTTACAAATGCCACAAATATTATGCAAGTACCTCTCTACTGGGAAGGAATATAACAATTCTAACAAATAAACATAAAAGCAGTGTGTACATAAGAATGCCTCTATACAATTTTTTGAGCATCAAAATCTTAGAAAGTTGAAAAATACCAATGAAATATAGCATTCTTATTCTTTCTCATTTCTTTTATCTGTTCTTTAGAGAAAAAAAGATGGAGCAGAAAGCAAGAAAATTGTCCAACAGAATTATTGCAACTGACTTAGTTTCTTATAAACAAAGAATGCATTGAAAGAGAAAACCTTGCCTCAGCAAAGTATATTACACAATAAGAAAGAAGAATTTCAAAGATAATAGAGATAATTTCTCACAGATGTCTGACCAGAAAGAAATTCTCAACTTTCTAAACTTTTCTATCATAATTTCACATATTTCTCTGGTTCATTTATAAAGGGAAAATAACTTGAGAATATTCCAAGATGAATACATCAGCACTCACATAGGTAACCAGAAACATGGGGTGTTAAATCAATTACAGGAGCAGCTGGGTTCCTTATCCAGATAAGACAGCGAAAAAAGACCAAGAAGCCAGTAGCCGGTGACTTTAAAAATTGTTCGAATATGCTTCCTCCTCACTTTGTCTCTTGAGGTTCTTTGTAAAAGCCAGGGTTTCACAATTAACTTTACAGCAATCAAAAAGCTTTAATCAGTCACTAAAACAAATGCTATTTTCACTTATCAAATTGGTAATAATTAGGAAAAAAGTGATAATATCATGCTGGGATATTCAGAGCACGCTTTTGTGGGAATCTAAATTGGTGCAACCACTTTGGCTGCATGCCTCAAAAGCTTAAAAATATGCCCATCTTTTCTGCACCTTCTACTCCTGACAACTTATTTAACTACAGGGATGTTCTTCCCAGCTATGTGATATACAGCCATTAAATGGCTGAATACTATGCAGCCATTAAAATATTGTTGCAGAATATATTGTGATATGGGGTGGAGGTGGAGCCTAGCTCAAAAATTATGATTGTATTTGGGTAAGGAAAAATTATATGTATACATAAAAGTAATATGAAGGGGATAGACTTATGAATATTTTATAAATATTTTAGATATTTTCTTCATTTTCTTTTATTCTTTTCTTTAGTCTTATCTATATTTTCTAATATGTCTATTTGATATGTATTGCTTTTACAAGAAAAAATAACTTCAATGATCCTATAAAAGGAGGAGAGAGTGGGGAGCAAGTGTTTTAAATACTGCGACATGAGGCTGTGAAAGCTCTCAGAATCAAAATGAAGTCACCTATGTTAAAAATCCCAACAAACAGAGCCAGACGAGACCTTGAAGAGAGGGTTGTCATGTACAAAAACTATTGCAAGACTGCAAAAATCACAACCTTGCACAAAGTCCATCTCAACCTTACGCAAAAAAATACCTCTACAAGGACATCTGCCCAGCAACTGCCTGTCCAACCTCAGACTGGTGCTACCCTCGTTATTGAACCTTGTAGTCAAGGATAATTAACCCAAAACAGTTATGTAACCCTCCTTATTTTTCCTCTAAAAACCCTTGTCTTCCTTTACCTCCCTGAATAGGTACATAGTGTATTATAGTACATGCATTTCCATCGCAATGCCTATTCCCAAATAAATATCATTTTCTTTTCAAAATGTTTGTTATTTAGGTTGACAAGGCCTGGCTGCCCACTCCGTGGTGGTTGCCATCTGTTGCTTTATTATAACAAACTTCATTTAACTCAAGCCAGGCTGAGTGGCTTTCTTTATCTTGCTATCGATGCTCCCTAATACTCTAACCCCAACTTTGTATCATCTGGAATCCGGAGATATTTTTTAGCCAAACAAGAAACCCACATGTTGATTTGTAACATTTCAGCAGCACCACCTGCATCACCAAAGACTTTGAGACTTATGGAAATAAATTCAAATCCTCAACATCTGGAATGGTTGAGACACATGTATAAAGAACAGAAATTTATTTCTCACAGTCCTGGAGGCTGGGAAGTCCAAAATCAAGACTCTGGCATGTTTGGTGTCTGGTGAGGGCTGCTCTTTGCTTCCAAGATGGCACCTTGATGCTGCATCGTCTAGCGGGGAGGAACAGTGTGTCCTCACATGGCACGAGGCAGAAGGGCAAGAGGGCCAGACGCTGCTGTGTGAAGCCTCTTTTAAAAGGGCCTGAATCCCATTCACAAGGAAAGAATCCTTGTGACTGAATCACCTCTTAAAGCCTCCACTTCCTAATACTGTCCCATGGGCCATTAAGTTTCAATGCCTGGGCCGGGTGTGGTGGCTCACACCTGTAATCCCAACACTTTGGGAGGCTGAGGCGGGCAGATCACCTGAGGTCAGGAGTTTGAAACCAGCCTGGCCAACATGGCAAAAACACTGTCTCTACTAAAAAATACAAAAATTAGCCGGGTGTGTTGGCACGTGCCTATAATCCCAGCTACTTGGGGGGCTGAGGCAGGAGAGTCACTTGAACCCGGGAGGCAGAGGTTGCAGTGAGACAAGATCATGCCACTGCACTCCAGCCTGGGGAACAGAGCGAAACTCCGTCTAAAAAAAAAAAGTTTCAATGCCTGGATCTTGGAGGGGACACATTCAAACCGTAGCACCATTTTATATTATTTGTGGATTAGGGTTAATACTTTGTCATCTCAGACAAACCATTTCTAAGAAGGTAGAGGTTTGCGTGTGAGGCTTGAGCCACAGGTATGACACTCCATTGTCATGCACAAATTGTTACTTCCTTAAGATATGATCCAACAGACCTGGAGACCTGAATGCATTTAACACAAATGAAAGTTTCTGCCTCCTCCCTCAGCCCATTTGAGCTTCCATTTCCCTCTGACCCAGTGCGCATTCTACCCTTTGCAGTCTCAAGATGCTTCTCCCTGGCAGAAAAATCAAAAGCAAAATATGAACAAGTATAAGCCAGAATTTTCAGAGTAACTTTCCAGATTGCTTCAAATGGCAGCATTTCCAATCCTGGTTTGTCTCATTTGCTTTATTCAATAAAAGAACAAGAACAAGAACAAGAAAAAAAGAACACTACTGTGTATGAGCTTTGACATCACTTCTGACCATTTTTACTTTCATGTTGTTAATTTTGCCATTTGATTTTGTTTCCATTACATGCTATTAACTTCTGTTCAGATGTCACTCATTTAAAAATGTGGGGGTATTTCCCATTGTTGTCCCAGTCAGGCAATTATAACTTAACCTAAAGACAGCCCTGCTCTCAGGTCAGCCTTGCCATAAAGTCCGATTCAAAGAAATAACAGTCCATCAGAAAAATGAAAACCATTAAAATCTTTGTGTGTCTCTCAAGAAAATACCACAGGATGAGTAAACAAAGCTGAAAACAAGATAGAGAATAGAGTCTCTCAAGAAAATACCACAGGATGAGTAAACAAAGCTGAAAACAAGATAGAGGATAGAAGTTGATAGAGAGTTAGAATTTTAACATGTGACACGCCATTAGTAAGTGTTTTGAACACCAAGGGTTTGGAGGGAAAGAACTGTGTGGTCAGGACAGCAAGCCTGGAAGCTGACCCTGGCTGGCAACACTCAAAGTAACAAGACAAAGATCTAGCTGAGGGAGGAGGCTCAGAGGGCCTCAGGATGCTGCCATCCTAATGAAGAACAATCACACGGAGGGTGAAGGCAGTGTTCACCCTCTGTGTGAACACATCCTCCTAAGAGGATGCACTGCCCTCCTCCTAGAACACTGTGTGAGGGATCCCAGCTACCCAAGGTCCAGGAGCCACATGAAAGCTGCTTGAAGATGTCCCTTGCAAACCTAGCATCTGAGAATATGGACCCACAAAATACATTCATTAAGGAGAGGCCCATTTTATATAATGTACATTTACAAAGTTAATACACTTTTGACATATTTTCACACTTTTATTTCAAAAACATCTTGAATTACCTGCAAACTTTCAGGAACTCATCACCAACAAGGTCCATTCATGATGTAGTGGGAAATAACCACTGTGTAATGATAGCATAAGCAAATTCAGTTTTAATGAGAGGAAATAGGGGAAGAAAGTTGAAGATAAAACATGCTTCCTTTATAAATCCTTCTTTATTTTATTGTCCCCACTCCCAACCAACCCCCAAGGCCAAGTAAAGAGCTGGGAGTAAAAAGTTAGGGCACTGAAGATAGATTCGGGAGACGTCTGGGTTCCTCACCTGCTAATGCAGGACCCAGTTTCCTACAAAACAGCGTCTGCCTGTCCAAGGATTGTGGAAATACAGGTGTATGTTCCTGCATGTGTATCCAGGAAGAACAAGTCCCTTTCTCAGGCTCGAGCCCCTGGAGCCAGGCCCTCTTCATAGGCCACCCCACAGTCACCACCGTGGAGGTTCTGGAAGCCTCAGGATGCCCCAGGGACTTCCCACCCCCAAGCCAGGTAGTGCCCCAAGCATAAGTGAAAACACCCTTTTCACTCCTTTGTTTCCCTAGAAATCCAGCAGCTTCTAAGGTTCATGTGCTACAACTCTTTCCATTTTTAATATCCACACATGTGCAGGTGTGGTAATGGATCAACTACTGTGAGCAACTGGGGCTTCACCCCCCACAGAACATTCTACGAGATAGAGGGTGGTAGCACACTTCAGGTCATCCAGCTGCAAGAGTGAGGAGTTGGAGCATTTATCCACAGACTCCCATCTCCCACTGGGGAGAACTGCCCTGGGACCCCTGACACCACACACTTTGGGGGTGCTTCTAGGGGGAGTAGGGCAAGTTCAGATGATGCCAGAAAAAGTCCTCAGGCAGAGAAGAGAGAGGCAGGCATCAGGGTGGGAAGGCATCAGCATTCTGGAAGCCTTAGTTACAGGTGAACTCAGATGGGCCAAGGGGACACAGGACAAGGTATCGACAGCATCTGCCACAACTCTCTTGGGAGGTACACAAAACCAACTGAGTAAACATTTGTATTATTTCCTGGATATAGGAGCAATACATTTTACATAAAGATGATGATTCTTCACAAATTTATTCTTAAGTGCAATGCCATTTCAATAAAAAAACCCAACCATAGGTATCATGGAATTTGACAAGATTACAAAATTAATCTGGAAAGAGAAATAAGCAAGAATATCGGGCTGGGCACAGTGGCTCATGCCTGTAATCCCAGCACTTTGGGAGGCTGAGGCGGGCAGATCACTTGAGGTCAGGAGTTCGAGACCAGCCTGGGCAATACGGTGAAACCCAGTCTCTACTAAAAACACAAAAATTAGCTAGGCATAGTGGTGCATGACTGTAATCCCAGCTAGTTAGGAGGCTGAGGCAGGAGAATCGCTTGAACCCAGGAGGTGGAGGTTGCAGTGAGATTGTGCCACTGCACTCCAGCCTGGGTGACAGAGCGAGACTCCATCTAAGAAAAAAAAAATCAGAAAATATTCTGAAACAAAGAGAAAGTAATGGGTGATATGAGTCCTACCAGGCATTGAAGTGCATTATAAAGCCTTTACCTACCTCATGGATCTAATAAAGCAAGAAAGGAAAAGCCTCTCCTCACGTGGCATCCCCTCCCTTGGTTGTGTCAATTTGAATCACACTGATATGCCTTATGCGGAATCTACATAAAAAGAAACCTTTTAGGCACACACCGAGGAAGGGGCTGAATGAGGGTAGCTGCGGATCATTCACTGGTATCAGGGACAAGAAAATTACCATGGCCTCAGGAACTGCCAGTAAAGACACAGGAAGGTTCTGGTTCCCAGAAAAATAAAGTCAGAAGCCAAGCCCAGGGTGGGAACAAAGAAGATCAGAAAAAATCAGACCATTTCATAAAAGCTGTGATGCAGAAGAAGTCCAGTGGAGGAGGGCCCAAGTGCCACACAGGTTCCAGGTGATGCTGAAATTGTCTCGGGTAACTGAGATACCTCAGACCCGCCTAGACAGTTAGAAATGGCTAGAAAGAGAAAAGGAAATTTTTTTCTAGACACCAAGGAGAAAATAGGAAGAAAAGCAATATGAGTGGATGGGAGAGGTTGCCCCATATTCAGGATACCATTTAACTGATTTTCCCGGGCAAAGCACTAGGAGTCATCTCCCAAGGAATTTATAGTCCAGTTAAAGACCAAAAGGGCTTTAAATAATAATTTTTTTTTTTTGAGATGGAGTCTTGCTCTGTCACCCAGGCTGGAGTGCAGTGGCACAATCTTGGCTCACTGCAACCTCCGCCTCCTGGGTTCAAGCGATTCTCCTGCCTCAGCCTCCTTAGTAGCTGGGACTACAGGCATGCACCACCACGCCCAGCTAATTTTTGTATTTTTAGTAGAGACAGGGTTTCACCATGTTGGCCAGGCTGTTCTTGAACTCTTGACCTTAGGTGATCCACCCGCCTCGGCCTCCCAAAGTGCTGGGACTATAGGCGTGAGCCACTTCACCAGGCCAATAATAAATTTTTAAATAATAAAGCAGTTTAAAATGGGACTGGATGATACAAGCCAGTTGCTGCTGGAGCTAGAAGGAAGGAGGCTGACTTCTGATGGGAAGATATGGAAGGATTTCAGAGAAAAGGATGCATCAGAGCCAGAACTCCACAGAAGAGAAGCAGGGTCAAGAAATTCAGGGCTGAGAGAACTACTCAAGCAGACCTTCAGCAAGGCAATTAAAGGAGGACAAGTGGTCCTGCAGGGCTTCGCCCAGGGAAATGCAAAGAGAAAGAGAGAGAGAGAGAAAGAGGCATCACTGGAAATGTTTCACAGATACCTTGACTGTAAACATTAACTGCAGGCACTGAAATCTAGCCATTAAGGAAGCATTGAATGCTTTTAAAGGGTGGGGAGACAGGAACCATTCTGCAGCAACTGTGCAATAGTTTCTCCTTAAATTCATGATTCACATCTTTAGAGAAAATGTTCCTAACGCCTAAGAGAAGACCATACAAACAGATTAGCTGTTTTCTTCCTCTGTCTGAAGTGCTATGCCATGTGATGCCTCAAATTGCTACAGCTGTCAACACCAGCTTGGGTAGGGCAGAGTGGAAACAGGGAAGAAACGAGGTCTGTGAAGATATAAATATACCATTGAATGTACCCTGACCCGAAGAGGATCCTCCAGTATTCAAAACACCCTTTCCAGCGCCCACCCTCTCCTCCAGCTCCTGCCCACTCCTCTGCTCCCCGCAGGGTAAAACTCAGAAATGTTGTCGCTACTCCCTCACCTTCCATTCCCTCTTCAATTTGCTTCTGCCCCCATTAATCCATTGAAACTGCTCTCCTCAAGTCCCCAAAAACCTCCACGTCACCAAATCCAGTGAGCACTATCCTGTCTTCACATGACTTGGCCTCTCAGTAGCTGGCTCTGCCTTCTTGAAACACCCTCCTCTCAGCTTCCAGAACCCTCTTATTTCACTGGCTGTCCCTTTTCAGTCTCTTCCTCTGGTTCAAAGTGTGGTCTCTGGCCCAGCAGCATCAGCATCACCTAGGCACTTGTTAGAAATGCAGGTTCCTGGACCCCATCCCAGACCTGCTGAATCAAATCTCTGGTCCGGGAGGGGCGAGGCAGCAATCTGTGTTTTAGCCAAGTCTTCCAGGTGATGCACACTAGAGACTGAGAAGGACTAATCCGAAACTGTGGGCATTCCTCATTACGAAATCCTGATTCCTTTCTCTTCCCTGGCTACATTTTCTCCCATGATGATGTCATCTAAGCCCGTGACTGGAAATCATCTATACTCTGACAGCTTCTAAATGTGTATCTTCAGCACCCATCTGGGGATTACACAGCCATCTCAAATTCAACATGTCCAAATGGAAGGAAGGAACTCCAGATGTTCCCTCTAAAATCTGGTCGCCATCCATTTTTTTCCATTTAAGAAAATAGCTCCACCATTCCCCCAGCTGTTTATTAAAAAAACTTAAGTCATCCACGAGTCCTCCTTTTCCCCAACTCCTTACCCTATTAGCAATAGTATATCTAGAGGGTCTATCTCTAAATTGTCATGAATCTGTCCTCTATTACCACTATAGGCCAAGCCACAATTTTCTCTCCCCAGCCCACTGCAAAAGCCTCCAGCCAGGTACTGCTCATGCCCACAAAACAACCAGAGTGGACTTTTAAGAAGGTAAATCAGGCTAAGCATGGTGGCTCACACCTGTGATCCCAGCAATTTGAGAGGCCGAGATAAGCAGATTGCTTGAGCTCAAGAGTTCAAAACCAACCTGGACAACATAGTGAGACCCCCGTCTCTAAAACAAATACAAAAATCAGCCAGGCATGGTGGCTCACGCCTGTGGTCCCAGCTACTCAGAAGACTGAGGTAAGAGGATAGCTTAAGCCCAGGAGGCAGAGGTTGTAGTGAGCCGAGATCACCCCACGGCACTCCAGCCTGGGCAACAGAGTGAGACCCTATCTAAAAAAAAAGAAGAAGGTAAATCATGTCGCATCATTCCCCTTCTTAAATCTTCAAGGGCTTCCTATCATATTTAATTATTAAAACCCAAACATCTGTCATGGGCTGTCAGGCCCTATGGTCACTGTCTGTATGGCTTCCTGTATCCTCTTTGAGGTCTGAAGTCAGAGACTGTAACTATTTAATTCACACTAAGTGCTCAATAAAGTGGAGGAAATAATTCTCCTTTTGTGAGAAGATGAATTTAGAGTCTAACTTCTTTAGTTTCTCCTTACTTGCTGAGGAGGATCTATATGATGTGGTCAAATCACTTTCAGCCAGGACACAGGAGATGGGAAGGGAGACTTCCAAAGAATGACTTGATGATGCTGTGAACCTCAGCACAATAGGGCTCTGTGGGCAAACACAGTAGGGTTTGACCTCCAAGGACAAACCCTACACCCCACTCCCCACCCAGTCCGGAAAACGACTTTCACTGTTTATAGTGAGATATGGGTGGTTGTGGTCATGGGAGAGGCAATGGGAGTGAGTTTGGAATGAGGAATTATGCAGGGCCATTTGAATAGCCACTTCCTGTGGGTTGCCCACCCTTGGAGTGGTTCATAAGGTCAATAAAAACCTCTAAGAATCCATAGGCCAGACCATCAACCCCATTGTGGCAGCTTTTAAAACTGGCAACAAGGTCTTTGATACTCTTCCCATTGAGGAGTGGGCTCCATGTCCTCTGTCCTTGAATCTGGGGGCTATATGACTTTTTTTTTTTCTTTTCTGAGACAGAGTCTCGCTCTGTCGCCCAGGCTGAAGTGCAATGGTGCCATCTTGGCTCACTGCAACCTCTGCCTCCCGGGTTCAAGCGATTCTCCTGCCTCACCCTCCTGAGTAGCTGAGATTACAGGTGCGCATCACCATGCCTGGCTAATTTTTGTATTTTTAATGGAGACGGGGTTTCACCATGTTGCCCAGGCTGGTCTTGAACTCCTGACCTCAAGTAATCCATGGGCCTCGGCCTCCCAAAGTGCTGGGATTACAGGCATGAGCCACCGCGCCCGGCAATGGGGCTATATAACTGTTACGTCAACAGCATACAGTGGAAGTGATGCTACCTGACTACTGAGCCCAGGCAGGAAGTGGCATTGCAGCTTCTTGTTTGCTGAAACTCTCACACTTGGAGTCCTGAGCCAACATGTAAGAAGTTCATCCAAGCCGAGACCACCAGACCATGAGGAAACCAGGCCACACAGAGAAGCCGCAGCTAGGCACCGCAATCAGCACATCTGATCTTCAAGTCCTCCTAGCCCAGGTGCCACTCAGGCAAGTGCATAGGCTTCAGATGACTGCAACCCCCGGCTATCAAGGTACCCCTAGACTTAGAGTCTTCTCAACTGACACCCCAAACATAATGGGGCAGAATCAAGTCCCCGCTGTGCCTGTCCAGCTCCCTGGCTTAAACAATCCATTGGCATAATAAAATGGTAGTTGTTTTAAACCACCTAAGTTGTGGGGTATTTGCAGCACATCAGTAATAACCAGAATAGGTCATAAGTCAATCCCCTTTGGTTCCCTAGTTCTTTCCCTCCAAGAAATCCCAGGCCATTTGAGCCCTTTCCTGATGGGAGGAAAGCAGTCGACCAGAAAATACAATTCTTTTGAGGAAAAGATGGGTTTTAGCGTCTTGGAACCAAGCTTCACAGAGCGCCTTCTGCCAGTGGGCAGCCAGCCCCTTGCCTAGGCTGATCTGGTCACCTACTTCCAGCCCCACCCCAGCTCTGTCCTCCCACCCAGCTCTGTCCTCCCTGCAGGCCCTGAGCCTCTAGGAGACTCAAAGAGACACTGTGCTGCCCGCTGAATTCATCTCCCAGTGAGCCATCTCTGAGGAAAGGAGGTAAGGCTCTGAATGCGATGTCAACCTAAGCATTACATAACACTGATAGGTTGTAAAATGGCCTCGCTGCCTAGTGCTCATTCTAACTGGCCACAATCCAGTCCTCCCTGTTGCACTGAGTCAGCTCCCTCCAAAGGCGGCGCTTTCCAGGCCTCCTGGTTGCCCTTTCCCAGCAGACCTTTCAAGTGCTCACCCACACTCACATAAACATGGCCCAGGCACTGTTTACAGCAGCTCTCCTCTGTGCATTCTCCTGGCTTCTCCTGTCTCTCGCCATTTGTACCCCTCCCCTGCAACTTGAGTGACAGTGATTGGTCCTGAGATGCAAATATTTGATGCACATATGTTTACAATGCAGCCTCAGCTTTTTTTTTTTTTTTTGTAAAGAGACAAAGAGTGAGACAGGGTCTTGGCCTATAGCCCTGTGGCCCAGGCTGGAGTGCAGTGGCACAATTAAAGCTCACTGCAGCCTCTACCTCCTGGGCTCAAGCAATCCTCCCATCTCAGCCTCCCCAGTAGCTGGGACTACAGGACTGTGCCACCGTTCCCAGCAATTTTTTTTATTTTTTGTAGAAATGGGGTCTCACTATGTTGCTCACTCTGGTCTCAAACTCCTGAGCTCAAGCAATCTTCCTGCCTTGGCCTCTGAAAGTGCTGGGATTACAGGCCTGAGCCACTGCACCTGGCTGTCAACATTCTTAAATCTCTTTCCTTACATGCTTCCTAAACCTCTCACCCAAAACTAGGAGACTAGATGTCCTATTTTCCCCAGGGCATGCCTGGTTTACGCCCATTTCACTTTAAAAGTGCCCAATTTGGGTAATAATTTATAAGATCCCCCTCCCTCTAAATCCTGTCCTTCTATCACTTCATCCTTCGCTCTCCTTTAAAATGAGACAGTTGTCAGCAGGAATCCTGCGCAAGAACACACCACCCTGTTTCATAGAAGATATCTCAGGTAATGTGCAAACACGGGTTTTTAAACGGAGCGCATTTTTCTCATTTGTTAATATCACCACCTAAATCATCTCTTGCCTAAAACAAGGAGTAGAAAGTGAATGAAGGAAGGAACAGGTGATGGTCAGTGTCCTTTCTACGCCTCAAAATTTAAGAGTTTATGTGAAAATTCATAAATATTAATCTCAATCCAGGTTAAGCAAAATTTTTTGCTCTCCTCTTTAGAAATTTCTGGTTGCCAAAGTTCCAGAAATTGCTTCCTCATTCCTGAGCCTTTCATTTTCTCGATTTCTCCATTATGTAACGGGGAGCTGGAGCTTTGGGCCGAATTTCCAATTAAAGATGATTTTTACAGTCAATGAGCCACGTCAGGGAGCGATGGCACCCGCAGGCGGTATCAACTGATGCAAGTGTTCAAGCGAATCTCAACTCGTTTTTTCCGGTGACTCATTCCCGGCCCTGCTTGGCAGCGCTGCACCCTTTAACTTAAACCTCGGCCGGCCGCCCGCCGGGGGCACAGAGTGTGCGCCGGGCCGCGCGGCAATTGGTCCCCGCGCCGACCTCCGCCCGCGAGCGCCGCCGCTTCCCTTCCCCGCCCCGCGTCCCTCCCCCTCGGCCCCGCGCGTCGCCTGTCCTCCGAGCCAGTCGCTGACAGCCGCGGCGCCGCGAGCTTCTCCTCTCCTCACGACCGAGGCAGGTAAACGCCCGGGGTGGGAGGAACGCGGGCGGGGGCAGGGGAGCCGCGGGGGCCGAGTGAGGACCCCGGGCCTCGGGTCCCAGGCGCAAGGGTGCCCGGCCGGGCGGGGTCGGGACCCCAGTGAGGAGGGGCCGGGGGCTGCCCCGCGGGCGCGTGACGCGTCTCGGGCCTGCCCGGCTGCGCTGGTCTCCGCTCGGGTGAGGCGGCTTGGCTTCGCTTTTCAGGTTAGGAAAGCTCCCTTTACTGCGCGTTGGGGGGCTGGGGGAGCTGGCGGAGCCCCGTTAGGGAGGTCGGTGGCGCCGGGGTGTCTCAGCGCCCCCTGCACCCCGCGCGGGTCCGGCCCAGCGGGCGATCGCTGGCGCCCAGGGAACTCCGGGAGGGCCGCCAGCGGGCTCCGCAGGGCGCGGGGCGGGGAGGGGCGCCTGGGGGCCGCGGGGCTCGCGCTCCCCGCCCGTTGGCCGCCCCTCGGAGGCCGAGATCGGGGCCCAGAACGCCCCTTGGCAAGGCCTGGCGCTTCCGCGATGCCCAGAGGGTGCTTGGGGGGATGGAGAGAGGGGCGCCCGCCGGGGGAGTTCCGGGAGCCTCGGTGCCTCCCGCCGCAGCTGCAGCGTTCCTCCCGGGAGGCGGCCCAGCCCTTCATCCTCGCCGCCTGAGCTTCTCCGAGGGGGGCTGCAGCCTTGCGGCCGTTGCCACCGCCTGGAGAAGCGGCCCACGCGGACTGACGGGCGGGGGCGGGGCCTCGGGCCTCGGCGGGGGCGGGGTCCGGGGAGGCCCCACCCTCTGTTCTCCAGGGGCGGGGAGAGAGGAGCTGCAGGTCTGCGGCCTGGCCCCAGGTGCGATGGCGGACCCCAGCTTGGCCAGTCACATTCCTCCCAGTCCCCCTGGAGGGAGAACGCTGGCCATGGGGGGCTCCAAGGAACAACCAGCCTCGGATGACGACCCTTGGGTCACCGGTCTCCCCACCTGTGCGGCAGGCGCCTTCACGTTTCATTATTAAACAATGGGGAGAAATCCATGTTTACTGTCCTTTTTAAGGAATTTTTTGCTCTTCTCTTTGAGGTGGCTGTAGGAAATAGATTTTTTTTTTAACCTCGCAATTCCACCACGGTCACATCCATCCTCGCCATCGCAGAGCCACAGCTCTCCGTTTTTGTTTCCTAGCCTCCAGATTCTCACACAACACAGTGCAGTTTCACTGCTGTAATGATGAGGATCTTCATGGCCGCGTTATTTTCTTGTTCTGAGAGCATCACGGTTTAATTAGCAGTTCCCCATATGATTTGAAGTGTTTCCCGTTTCCTTAGGGAAAACTCCTGGTAGAATAGGATTAAGGATTTTTACAAATATAATTATCAAAAACATAGGAACAGGGAATTGGATAAATATGTTAAACTTCTGGAAAAATCAACAACGCTCTTAGATTTGTAGAAGAAAGGAAAAAATCACCAGTGGAAAGGAGCAATTTTACTTACACAAACACAGAGAAGGTCTTACAGTGAAAAAAAGCTAACCAGTAAGGGGAAAAGCAGGCAGAGGGGTAGGATGTGATTTGTATGTTATTTATATCTAACACAAGTCTTCCACACCGAAAGGAAAATATTAAGATTATAATAGATAAATGGCAAAATGATGAGTCATTTACACAATAAAATGCAAATTAGAGCATGTTTGGGTTATCATTTTACATCTATTAAAATAACCAAAATAATTAATAGTAACAGCAACCCTTGCTGGAAGGTTGCCCAAAACTTGGCATTTTCAAGTGTCTGGGGAGGTGGCAGGGCTTTGGGGTCACAAAGATGGTTCTGCAGTCAATTTTGTGACCTTGGACAGGCTACCTAATTTCCTGATCCTCCTTTTGTCCATTCATAGAATGGAGGAAATGATAGCTACTTTCTGCGTCTGTATGTATGAGTTATTGGGGGCATTTCGAACCAGTGACAAACATTTTGTTAAGCAATCTGGTGATGCATTAAGAAGCTGGAAGCTGTGACCCAGAAACCCCACTCCTGAGAACTTACCTGCAATGGAAGAAACAAACAAACAAAAACAGGCATGTATTCCTAGCAGAATGATCTAAAATTAGAACACCTGGAAAAGAGCCTAAATGTATAACACCAGGGCAGTAGCTAAGAAAATTATGACACATTAACTGAAATGAACATTATGTAACCACTAAAAATCATGATTTTGGAGCCTGTGATATGTGGGGAAAAACTGACAAGTAAAAAAGTGGGTTATTAACTGCACCTGCTTACTCTAACGTGAACGCATATGTGAAAAATCTGAAAGGAAAAGCACAGAAAATGGACGTTTTCATTGAAATTGTCGGTGATCTTAATTTTCCTTTGGTGAATATATTGCTCTCACTAAGGGCGTTTAAAAAATAGTTCACAGGTTTTAATTTTTTAGATGAAATGGACCCACAGTTTTCTGTAAGAGAAAGGAGAGATTGTTATATTTGCTACTTAGAATAAAAGATTTTTAGCCAACGTTGTTTCCTTTTTCAAATATTTTTCCATTTTTTTAGTTGATTAATGATTTAGTAATTTGTGTATTGGGTTTTTTTAAGAATCAGTTCTTAGATTCATTTATCAATTCTAGTTTTTTGTTGTTGTTTTTAAGGACTCCTGAATATTTTTCAAAACTGAACAATTTCAGCCATGTCTGAGCTTTCCGTCTTCCTGGAGGCACAAATCTAGTTTAGCTGAACCACAACAGATTGTACATATCCTGCAGAACCTCTGTGGTCTTAGGAAGGTTGAAAGTCACCAAATGTCACAGAAAATGAGGGTCAGGAAAGGCTGTGATCACAAGCTCTTGATCCAGAGGCCACTCGGGTGCATCTGTGTGACTGACACCTCATTGCATCATCATTTCTTGTAAAATCAGCTTAATTTTGCAGAGAAATGGCCACAGATTTTTAGAATTATGCTGAATTATGTAAGGGAGCAGCCATTTTAAAAATAATGTAATCAAATAACAATAATAACATAACAGAAGTTTCTGCACCACACTGACACTGAACATGGCTGTCAACCAACTAGCCAAACCAAGGTGAAAGATTCTCTGAACTTCAGTTTTAACTTACTTCGTCCATTCTCCCTTTTCAGATCTTATTTCTTCTTCCAAGGCAACTATATCCACTGTGAACTGCTGCATATTAAACATTCAAAACATGTCTGTATCTAACCCAGTGATGGCTACAGCATTATAAAATAACTCCTAAGTGAATAGTGTGTGCAGCAATTCTCACAGCTAGGAGAATTTTTTTTGTCGATGTGTTAACCATTCCTTTTTCTCCAACTGCATTCTACTTAAACTGTTACAGTATTGTGTGATCACTTTAAGGGAGGTAATCCTTCAGTGAAAAGCATTATAAATGTTGAAGATTAGACCCCTGAGGACCTAGCACTGAAGCCTGATCACGGGTGCCAATTCCCTGAGAAGCTTTTATAGATTCCCAAATCCCATCGCTAGGCACTCTCTGACTGGCTTGTGATGGGTTCCAGCAATGTTGTTTTTTAAAAGCTCCTCAGGTAATTCTGATCATGGACCAGGTTGGGGACCCTTTGCTCTGTTCAGTTTGTGGTTTCTAGGTGCCAGTGAGAAACCCCTACCCCCAATTTTTGTGCAAAATTTTTTTCAGCTTACATCAAGTTCTTTATGAACCTCAGAAAATTAAAATATAACAAGGGAATTTACTTAGCTCAGAAGAGACAAGGGACATTATGGGGTGAAGGTCGGGGGTTGTTTGACATTTGCCCCTTCCCGATGTAACTAATTAAGCTTCAAGTTGTAATGTGTTTTATGGGCTAGAAGGCTTTAGTGCCTATATTTGGATCTCAGCTCCAACACCTTGGACTCTTACAACCTTGGGATAAGTTCTTACTAGCTCTGACTCTCACTCCCCATCTATAAATGGGAATAAGATGAACGGGGTAATTTATAGATTTTTTAGTACCCTCTCTCTAGTTCCGCTGTTTTGCCATTCTGCTCATGCACCAATGCCATGTGATCTTATTGTAGCTTTGCACTCTGACACCTGGCAGGTCAAGTGCACCCTTGATTATCTTCTCATTAAAAATTTTCTTCAGTCTTTTAAGTTTTGAGTATAATTTCATAATGTCTTTTAAAATCTCTTTTGAATTCTTTTTCAAATTTATTTATTTTTTCTTTGACAGATAAGATTATATGTATTGTGTACAAAATTAGAAAGAGATCTTTTCCTCTAAGATCTGAAACAAGACAAGAATGCTCACACGCACTAGTTCTATTCAACATATGGTACTGCAAGTCCTAGCCAGGACAGTTAGACAAGAGAAAGAAATAAAAAGCATCCAAATTTGAAAGGAAAAAGTTAAATTGTTCCTATTTGGAGACGACATGATTTTACACTTATAAAACCCTAAAGACTCCACCAGAAAACCATTAGAACTAATAAATTCAGTAAAGTTGCAGGATACAAAATTAACATACAAAAATCAGTAGTGTTTCTATATGCCAACAGTGAACTATCAGGAAAGAAATAAAAAGAAAGTGCCATTTACAATAGCTACAAAATAAATATTTCAGAATAAATTTAGCCAAGAAGGTGAAAGATCTCTACACTGAAAACTATAAAACACTGATGAAAGAAATTCAAGGAGACACAAATAGAAAGATAGCCTGTGCTCATGGGGGGATAATTAATGTTGTTAAAATGTCCATACTACCCAAAGTGACCTACAGATTCCATAGAATCCCTATCAAAATACCAATGACATTCTTCACAGAAATAGAAAAAACAATCCTAAAATTGGGTGAAGGTGGCATCTTTGTCTCGTTTCAGATCTAAGAGGAAAAGCTCTCAATTTTTCACCATTAAGTATGATGTTAGCTGTGACCTTGTCATATGTGGCCTTTATTGTGTTGAGGTACAATGCTTCTACACCTAATTCATTGAGAGTTTTTATCATGAAAGAATGTTGAATTTTGTCAAACGCTTTTTCTGCATCTATTGAAATGATCGTATGGTTATTGTCTCACTCTGTTACTGTGATGTATCACACTTATTGATTTGTGTATGTTGAACCATCCTTGCAGCCCTGGGATGAATCCCACTGTATCATAGTAAATGATCTTTTTAATGAGCTGTTGAATTTGCTTCGCTAGAATTTTGTTAAGAATTTTTGCACCTATGTTCATCAGGGATATTGGCCTATACTGCCATTTTCTTGTGTGTTTTTGTGGGACTTTGACATCAGGATAATGCTGGTTTCTCCTGTTATTAATTTCTAGTTTTATACCATCATGCTTAGAAAAAAAACTTGATACGATTTCAGTCTAATTAAGTTTGTTAAGACTTGTTTTATGGCCTAACATATGATCTGTCTTGGAGCATGCTCCATGTGCTGTTGAGAAGAATGTGTATTCTGCAGCTGTTGGATGGAATGTCCTGTATTTGTCTGTTTGGATCCATTTGGTCTAAGTGAAGTGTAAGTCTGATGCCTCCTTATTTATTTTCTTTCTAAATCTCCCGTCCAAAAATCTAAGAGATCCAAAGCAAACAGGGGGTTATAAAATTACCTTTGAATTCTGACTGAAATTGTGTTTACTTTGTAGATTATTTGCTGGTGACTTGGTATCTTTCAATATTGGTTTCCCAAACAAAAAACATTGTATGTCTTTCTCTTTTTCCAGTCTTCTTTTATGTCTCAGTAAAATTTTGTAGCTTGCCTACTACTTATTTTCAGGTTAAATCCTAGATATTTTCAATTCTTACTGCCATTATGAATGAATGTTTTTCCCCATGAAATGTTTAACTACAGCTGATTTAGGGACTCACTGAGTTTTGATTTGTTGATTTGAAAAACTACCACCCTGTTGAGCTCATGTATTTATTCTAAGACATTTTTTGAGATTTTCCAGGTAAAAAAATTATACCTAGATGAATTTATAGAACAACCTAATAGCATAAAAGCAATAGATTATTGTTCACCACATTAATGGGAATGCCTTTCCTCTTAAAATTATGATATCTTGGGCTTTGTGTTTGTGACAGCATTTCTTTATGATGGAAAGAGACTATCCTTCCAGTTCTATAGAAACGTTTTAAAAATAGCTTACATTTTTAAAAATTTAGGAATGATATTGATTTTCATTGAAAACTTTTCAACATCTGAAGAAAATCTTTTCTTCCTAACCTATTAATAGAGCTCCTGATTTTCAACCATTCTTGTATTCCTAAAATAATCCATATTGGTCATAATGTATTCTTCTTTTACTAAACTGTTAAAATAAGTTGGGTGCTGTTTTTTTAGATTTTGGCACCTGTGTGAGAGGAGGGTGCCATGGCAGGGTGGCTAAGTGTGCCCACCTGTGTACTAGCATTGAATTTTGACCCTTTATCCCATTGGCTCTAAACACTACATCTCAGGTGAAGACGCCCAAATGTTTATCTCTACTGAGTTACAGATTCCTATAACAATTGCTTAAATTGATACTCCCACTTGAATGTCTCATAGGTGTGGCAAAGTTTACATGTCTATACTGAAACTCTTGGTTTTCTCTCCCAGGCATGACCCTCCACCAGTTTGTCCTATTTCAGTAGATGGCATCACCGCCATCTCCCTGGTTATGGAAGTCCCAGACCCGGGCAACTCTCACTCCTCCATCCACTCAACCAGCAGGTCTTATTGGCTCTTTCTGTAAAATATGTCTCATTTATTCACAGCCTGCTAGCTGCATGGACTCCATCCCAGGCCACGCCACCATCTTCCTGCAGCAGTTTCTTAACTGGCCTCTCCATTCCCTTTCTTGTCCCACTAAATTTTCTTCTATTTAAGAAAAAATGTTTTGTAGACATGGGGTTTCACCATGTTGCCCAGGCTGGTCTCAAACTCCTGGGCTCAAGCAATCCTCCTGCCTGAGCTTCCCAAAGTGCTGGGATTATAGGCTTGAGCTGAGCTTTTGAAAAAACATTCTATGATGTTACTGTCCTACTAAGACCCTTTAATGGCTCCCCACTGCTTTCAGAGGAAAATAGAAATTTCTCTCTGTGGACCATGAGGCCCTCATGATCTGACCCTCACCACCTCCCTAGTCTTAGCAGTCCACCTGCCACTGTCTCATGGGGCTCCACAGATTTGATCTCCTTTTTGGTCCTTAAGCCCACCAAGCTAAGTATCTTATTCAAAACTGTGTCCTCAGCCCCTAGCACAATTCTTGACCCTTAGAATTCTGACACTTGAAATGTGTGTTAAGCTAATCAATAAATTATTGTGCCAGGCTTGGTGGCACAATAATGTGTTGTGGGTCACCTATATATAGCTGTGGCTCACACCTATAATCCCAGCACTTTGGGAGGCTGAGGCCTGCAGATTGGTTGAGCCCAGGAATTTGAGACCAGCCTGGGCAACATGGCAAGACCCCATCACTATTAAAAATACAAAAAAAAAAAAAACCAGGCGTGGTGTTGCATACCTGTGGTCCCAGCTACTCAGGAGGATCACTTGAGCCCACTGGGTGGAGGTTGCAGAGAGCTGAGATCATGCCACTACACTTTGGCCTGGGTAAGACCCTGTCTCAAGAAAAAAAAAAAAAGGTTATGGTACTGTAAATATTATATTACAGTGTATAATTTTTGACAGCTTTTTTTCTCCATTTCTTCTATGGTTATTGGTCAGTTCTAGCCTTCTATTTTTTTTTTTAAGCTGACACATACTGGCTGGGCATGGTGGCTCACACCTGTAATCTCAGCACTTTGGGAGGCCAAGACAGGAAGATCTCTTGAGCCCAGAAGTTTGAGGCGAGCCTGGGCAACATAGCAAGACCCCATCTCTACCAGAAAAGAAACAACAACAAAAAGAAACTGGCACATACTAGTTATTCCATAAATATTTCTTAAATGAATTAATTCTAAAGTTGATTTTTATAATTTACATCTTAATAGAAAGACAATCCATCTCAGAGATATTTTTATTCATTAAGGAAAGTTGCATAAAGTAATTTATTAACCTTTTAAAGCATTCTCTAAGCCTATTTCCCCTTATAGAGATATGTTTTCTAGTGATGTGTGTATGTTACATTTTCAAATAACTCTTAATTTTATTTAGAAATTCCACATTTTTGTGGGTTTTATTTATTAAATTCGATTTTCATCTCTATTATTAATTTATGACAGTTTATTTTGAAGTTTTCTGTTTTCTTCCTTTTGAGTTGAATAATCATTTACTTTATTTTACTTCTTCTATTCAGTTGTATTATCCATGTTCCTCTGATAGCCATGCAGGTTCCAAATCCTCACATTTTTCAACTTCTTTAAAAGATTTTTTTTGTGCTATCCTGATAAGCGTTAAGTGTTATATCATTTTTTTTCATTTTTATTATATTCTTAATGATTTTGATTCTCTTTTTCTATCCTTTTGGTTTTCTTTCTTAGGTAAATGATCAGTTATATCTTTTGGCCATTTTTTTCTGTTGGAATTACTGTCTCTTACTGCTCTGTAAGAATTCCTTGCAAGTTCTAGAAATGAATCCTCTGTTGATTTTAAGTACTAAAGTCCCCTTTACCATTGTGTACTCTTTCTATTAACTTTGTCCAGAGTCAGCTTTATCGTGCTGAACAAGAATCTTTACATTTTAATTTTTTTTTTTAATTTTTAAGTTCAAGGGTACAAGTGCAGGTTTGTTCCATAGGTAAACTCGTGTCATGGGGGTTTGTCATACAGATTATTTCATCACTCAGGTACTAAGCCTAGTACCCATTAGTTATTTTTCCTGATCCTCTCCCTCCCTTAGCCCTCCGATAGGCCCTAGTATGTGTTGTTCCTCTGCATGCGTCCATGTGTTCTTATCATTTAGGTCCCACTTATAAATGAGAACATGTAGAATTGGGTTTTCTGTTCCTGTGTCAGTTTGCATATCCCTGCAAAGAACATGATCTCGTTCTTTTCTGGGGCTGCATAGTATTCGATAGCATATATGTACCACACTTTCATTATCCCAGCTATCACTGATGGGCATTTAGGTTGATTCCATGTCTTTGCTATTGTGGATAGTTTTGCAATGAACATACACGTGCATGTGTCTTTGTAATAGGATGATTTATATTCCTTTGGGTATATACCTAGTAATGGGATTGCTGAGTCGAATGATATTTCCGTCTTTAGGTTTTTGAGGATGTAATCAAATTCATCAATTATTTGCCTTATGGTTTGTGCTTTTTGTTTAAAAAGTTCTTCCCCCATTCCTCCTCCAGGTCACAAAGACATTTCCCAATATTTTCCTCTTCTAGCGCCAAACTTGTACCTTTCACATGTAAGTCTTGGATCCATCTAGAGTTCACTTTTGTATGTAGTTAGGGATCTAGTTTTCTTTTTCTTGTTTCCCAGAAGCATGAAACCTTCCTCCTTTATTGGTTCGTGGTGCCCATGTCAGCACACATCAAGTCCCTGTTAAAGTGTATCTACGTGGGTTTCTCTCTCAACTTGCTTTTCTGTTTCCTTTGGTCTCTCCGTCTATTCCTGAGCTTTACCGTCCAGTCTTCGTCACTGTGGTTTTGTAGTGATTTCATGTCTGCTTTGGCAGATTCCCTCCTCTTTACACTTTTTTTTTAAGGTTGACCTTATTATTCATGGACATTTTCTTCCCCATAGAAGTTTACTGAACTTCTCAAAAAATTGAGATTACCTGGAATTTTAACTGGCATTTTATTGCAACTACCAGTTCATTTAGGATAATGGACATCTTTATAATACTGAGTTATCGCCATCAAGACCATGGAATGCCTCTCCATTTTTTTCAGACCATCTTCTGTGTTCTCTGTATAATGTGTCACCCATCAGAAGTCTTTTCTTAGTTAAGTCAATTCCTAGACGCTTTACAGTTTGGTTGTTACTTTGAATATCTGTATTTTCTTCTGGTCAGTTATTGCTACTGTAGAGGAATGCCGTTGGTTTTCGTAGGCTGACCTTCAGTCCCACAACCTTGCACTCTAGCGTTGGTTCTCATGTTATCCCTGTTATTCTGTTGGATTTTCTATGTGCATGATCACACTAATTGCAAATAGTGTCAGCTAGAGCACTTTCCTTGCCATTCTTACACCTGTTACTTCTTTGCATATGGCCTTGGACAGCACCTTGAGTCCCATGACAATGGATGTCCCTGTTGTATTTCTGAGTGTATTCTTAGCATTCTTCTTAGTAATAAACAGGTATTGACCATTACCATATACTTAATAGGATATCTTGAAATATGCCAGAGGACTAGGCCACTACTTGACTGGTGACAGAGAGTATCTTAGATGTATAGGCCCCCAGACATGCCAGTGTCCTCTCTCACCACCCATCTCCACTCCAAAGTTGTCTGGCCTCACCCACCTTCTGTGCCTGGTTCTTCTCCTCTGTGCTTCTCTCACTATGCCATGTCCTCGCCTGTTCAGGTGTCTCTAAGAGCTCATAGATCCTTAACTCTTACAGCTTTAAATGAGGCACATTCAAAGCCCGACTCAGTGTCATTCCCTGCAGTCTCCTCTTCCTCCCATCTTACCCATTTCAGGTAATATCTCCAGCCAGCCAGAGTCTACTGCAGTAGCTGGCACATGAAATAAATGTTTATTTAACTGAATTGAAAATGTTAGCTGGCCATTGTCAAAAATACTATTTTGTAAATTTATAAATATGGTTCTCTTTGTATATCCATTATAAATATTTAGTATTTAGTTTGATTATTCCTTATGCTTTATAACATGTGTTTTCCCATTCATTCATTTATCCAGCATTTATTTTGCATGTCTATGGGTCAAGCGCTCTGTCTAGGAACACTGCTGTGAACAAAACCAAACTCCCGCCCTAAAGGAGCCTGCACTCCCGTGGAGAACATGAATAATAAGCACAGAGGAAATAACATAATATCTCAAGTAGCTGTAACTGCTCCAGAGAATAATGAAGCCAGGAAAGGGGGTGGGCTAGGGGGTGCTGTTTTAGGTAGAGTGATGGGAACAGCCCCACTGAGCAAACTTTAGCCACATGAGTAGCTGGAAGAAAAGCCTTCTAGGACCAGGGAACAGCAAGTGCAACAGCCCTGAGACAGGATGGGCTTGTCAGTTTGAGGAGCAGTGGGAGGCCTGAACCAGGTTACATGGGGCCCAGCCAGTATGGCCACGACTTTGTGTTTTATCCAGAGTACAAAGGAGCCTCACTGAGGGACAAGGGAAGTGGCATGATGTGACCCGCATATTAAGAGGAGAGCGCTCAATGGCAGCCAGGGGAGGAGCAGGGAGGCTGGTTGGGAGGCTGTTGAAGAAATCAGGTGAGAAGTGATGGAAGCACCGAATAAGATGGTCATGTTGGAAAAATTGAGAAGCTGAGGTGCTTAGCATTGATTTTCAAGGTAGAGCTACTGAGATTTGCTGATAGATCCAATGTATGCTGGGAGAGAAAATTCAGTCACTCTAGAGCATTGGCTGGATTTGTCACCCATTGCAGCGAATGGAGAAGGTGCTGACATAAAAGCCCTTTAGACTGAAAGCTACTGACTGAGGGGATGGTGCCCTAGTTTGATTTCCTGGGGTGTATGAGTAGCAGGGAGGCCAAGAGCTGGGCCTCACGAGATTGTGGGGACTACATCAGGGAAGCAGGCCTGCAAAGAACCTGCACCACAGACCCCCACCTAAAAGAGCCTCCAAAAACCCTAACTGGCATGACCTGAGTACTTTAACTCTGCTTGTAACTTTCAAATATATTTTGATTTGCTTATGACCACCAAGGCAAAACTTCCCATTTCAATAATGTTAGTAGAAACATAAACAGGATGTTAATTTATTTATTTGGTAATTCTTTTTATGAATATTATCCAGTTTAATCATTAGCTCTGAAGGAGATGAAAAATAATTTTCTAATTTTTAGAAAAATTTGCAGCTAATTGGGTGATAAAGGTAAGGGGTTTCTGAGTTCACAAAAATGTTCTAAAATTGGCAACAGTTTCGGTTGCACGTTTCATTAAATGTACTAAAAACCATTGAACTGTACATGGTATATGGTGAATTATATGGTATGTGAATTATATCTCAACAAGCTGGGTATTGTTTTTTTAAAAAATAAAAATAAAAAAGGAGAAAGAGAGAGAGAAAAACAATTGCAGATCATCCCAGCACTGAGGACAAGACTAACTTCAGTGTTCCAGTATATGCCATTATAGGTTTTACGGCACACAGTGATGATTTGGAGCCTATGATTTGACCTAGGGTACAGCAGGTACTGTTTAGCAATCATTTTACTATTGTCATAGGTCTCTGCTCTTGGAGCTAAGTGCCCAGGGTAAATGAGATCTTTAATTTGAAAAGAGATTTTTGATTTGATGAATGTACATTCTCCAAAGGGTCATAAATTGTCATTCTGGATGTTTGATCTGTTTGTTGTTTTGGTACAAAAATTAGAAGAAAATAATTCACTCATAAAATGTTAAATAATGAACTAAAAGTCATTCATCAAGTCCATAACTTAGGGTCACATTTGTCCTTGGAGCAGGAGAAAGAGTTGTGTTCACCCTTTTCTTACTTTTGCTTTTGTCCTAAGTGCTTCAGAGAAGTACAGGGTGGCAACAGTGTTTCTACTGAGCAGCTGATACCATTGCTATGCACTCATTCATTATGCAGGAAACATTTAGTAATTTCAACATAAATATGGGACTCTGACGTTCTCCTCTTCATTTTGCAGAGCAGTCATTATGGCGAACCTTGGCTGCTGGATGCTGGTTCTCTTTGTGGCCACATGGAGTGACCTGGGCCTCTGCAAGAAGCGCCCGAAGCCTGGAGGATGGAACACTGGGGGCAGCCGATACCCGGGGCAGGGCAGCCCTGGAGGCAACCGCTACCCACCTCAGGGCGGTGGTGGCTGGGGGCAGCCTCATGGTGGTGGCTGGGGGCAGCCTCATGGTGGTGGCTGGGGGCAGCCCCATGGTGGTGGCTGGGGACAGCCTCATGGTGGTGGCTGGGGTCAAGGAGGTGGCACCCACAGTCAGTGGAACAAGCCGAGTAAGCCAAAAACCAACATGAAGCACATGGCTGGTGCTGCAGCAGCTGGGGCAGTGGTGGGGGGCCTTGGCGGCTACATGCTGGGAAGTGCCATGAGCAGGCCCATCATACATTTCGGCAGTGACTATGAGGACCGTTACTATCGTGAAAACATGCACCGTTACCCCAACCAAGTGTACTACAGGCCCATGGATGAGTACAGCAACCAGAACAACTTTGTGCACGACTGCGTCAATATCACAATCAAGCAGCACACGGTCACCACAACCACCAAGGGGGAGAACTTCACCGAGACCGACGTTAAGATGATGGAGCGCGTGGTTGAGCAGATGTGTATCACCCAGTACGAGAGGGAATCTCAGGCCTATTACCAGAGAGGATCGAGCATGGTCCTCTTCTCCTCTCCACCTGTGATCCTCCTGATCTCTTTCCTCATCTTCCTGATAGTGGGATGAGGAAGGTCTTCCTGTTTTCACCATCTTTCTAATCTTTTTCCAGCTTGAGGGAGGCGGTATCCACCTGCAGCCCTTTTAGTGGTGGTGTCTCACTCTTTCTTCTCTCTTTGTCCCGGATAGGCTAATCAATACCCTTGGCACTGATGGGCACTGGAAAACATAGAGTAGACCTGAGATGCTGGTCAAGCCCCCTTTGATTGAGTTCATCATGAGCCGTTGCTAATGCCAGGCCAGTAAAAGTATAACAGCAAATAACCATTGGTTAATCTGGACTTATTTTTGGACTTAGTGCAACAGGTTGAGGCTAAAACAAATCTCAGAACAGTCTGAAATACCTTTGCCTGGATACCTCTGGCTCCTTCAGCAGCTAGAGCTCAGTATACTAATGCCCTATCTTAGTAGAGATTTCATAGCTATTTAGAGATATTTTCCATTTTAAGAAAACCCGACAACATTTCTGCCAGGTTTGTTAGGAGGCCACATGATACTTATTCAAAAAAATCCTAGAGATTCTTAGCTCTTGGGATGCAGGCTCAGCCCGCTGGAGCATGAGCTCTGTGTGTACCGAGAACTGGGGTGATGTTTTACTTTTCACAGTATGGGCTACACAGCAGCTGTTCAACAAGAGTAAATATTGTCACAACACTGAACCTCTGGCTAGAGGACATATTCACAGTGAACATAACTGTAACATATATGAAAGGCTTCTGGGACTTGAAATCAAATGTTTGGGAATGGTGCCCTTGGAGGCAACCTCCCATTTTAGATGTTTAAAGGACCCTATATGTGGCATTCCTTTCTTTAAACTATAGGTAATTAAGGCAGCTGAAAAGTAAATTGCCTTCTAGACACTGAAGGCAAATCTCCTTTGTCCATTTACCTGGAAACCAGAATGATTTTGACATACAGGAGAGCTGCAGTTGTGAAAGCACCATCATCATAGAGGATGATGTAATTAAAAAATGGTCAGTGTGCAAAGAAAAGAACTGCTTGCATTTCTTTATTTCTGTCTCATAATTGTCAAAAACCAGAATTAGGTCAAGTTCATAGTTTCTGTAATTGGCTTTTGAATCAAAGAATAGGGAGACAATCTAAAAAATATCTTAGGTTGGAGATGACAGAAATATGATTGATTTGAAGTGGAAAAAGAAATTCTGTTAATGTTAATTAAAGTAAAATTATTCCCTGAATTGTTTGATATTGTCACCTAGCAGATATGTATTACTTTTCTGCAATGTTATTATTGGCTTGCACTTTGTGAGTATTCTATGTAAAAATATATATGTATATAAAATATATATTGCATAGGACAGACTTAGGAGTTTTGTTTAGAGCAGTTAACATCTGAAGTGTCTAATGCATTAACTTTTGTAAGGTACTGAATACTTAATATGTGGGAAACCCTTTTGCGTGGTCCTTAGGCTTACAATGTGCACTGAATCGTTTCATGTAAGAATCCAAAGTGGACACCATTAACAGGTCTTTGAAATATGCATGTACTTTATATTTTCTATATTTGTAACTTTGCATGTTCTTGTTTTGTTATATAAAAAAATTGTAAATGTTTAATATCTGACTGAAATTAAACGAGCGAAGATGAGCACCACCTCCCGTGTCTGCAGTTGTATTTCCTGGTGCTTGCCCTGTGTTGGGGACTGTTTTGGGGGTTAATCTGAGCCAAGTGGCGCTTTCTGTCCTCCCTTCTCAAGTGATGGCCGATGGTTCACGCACTTCCCCCTGTTCCTGCCCTTGTCCTCACTTCCCAGTCACCCACTAGTTCATCTCTGCGGCTTTTGCATTTTCTCCACAAGCATCTAAGTGGGCTTAGCACTGGTAAACTGCAAAGGCACTATTGCAGCAGGAGGAACAGTCTGGGAGCTTTTTTCAGTCCTGGATTTAGAAATAGATTTTCTTGATTAAAATGAAAATTAACAAGCTCTAAAGAACTGTTGACCCTTGAACTACACAGGGATTAGAGGCACTGACCTGCCGCACAGTCGAAAATCTGCAGAGAAGTTTTTTTTGTTTTGTTTTGTTTTTTTTGAGACGGAGTCTCGCTCTGTCGCCCAGGCTGGAGTGCAGTGGCGGGATCTCGGCTCACTGCAACCTCCGCCTCCCGGGTTCAGGCGATTCTCCTGCCTCAGCCTCCTGAGTAGCTGGGACTACAGGCATATGCCACCATGCCCGGCTAATTTTTGTATTTTTAGTAGAGATGGAGTTTCACCATATTGGCCAGGCTGTTCTCAAACTCGGCCTCAAGTGATCTGCTCGCCTCAGCCACCCAAAGTGCTAGGATTACAAGCATGAGCCACCGCGCCCGGCCTGCATAGAACTTTTAACTCCCCCAAAACTTAATTGCTAATAGATTAATTGCCTGCTGTTGGCTGGAAGCCTTACCAATAACGTAAACAGTTGGTTAGCACATATTTCACATGTCATATATACTATATACTGTATTCTTACCATAAAGTAAGTTAGAGAAAATGTTGTTAAAACAATGAGGAAGGAAAAGTATATTTACTATTCACTGACTGGAAGTGGATCATCATAAAGATCTTCATCTCATCTTCCTCACATTGAGGAAGGCTGAGGAGGAAGGGGAGGGGTTGGTCTTGCTGTCTCCTGGGTGGCAGAGGCAGAAGAAAATCTGTGTCTCGTGGACTCAGTTCCAACCCGTGGTGTTCAAGGGTCACCTGTGCCTGCTTTATGCACCCCAAATCAGGCTCTAAAATAGTCTCAGGTCCTGTGAGCCTTAGTGACACACTCTTCTCAGATTCAATACCTTTGATCTGAAAGGTGACTTTGATTTGTCATAATCTTCCAACTCATTCTCTACATGTTTCGACGCACCAGCACTGTGATGTTCTTGGTTATCCTTGGCAGAAGTTTTCTCCTGCAACTAATTTGCTAAAGGCAGGGGGTAATCAGAAGTGACAGTGGTTGAAATCACAGGCCAATATCTTAGCAAACGTCTGTGTTGTAAATGGGGAAGTGCCTCTGGTGGGGTCTTCAAGGATCACTCCAGCCTGGCTAGGGAAACTCTAGGGGAGAGGCACTTGAAATTATTGTACTCATAGGTCCTAGAGAGGGAGGCATGTCATGCCAAGCAGGGGGCTGGATTGGAGGCGTGCCCAGGGATTGGGTGCAACTCAGCGTGTATGAGACAGAAAGAGAGAGAACTCCTGGGCAAGTGCCTTTACTGGGAGCCAGGATGGAGGACACAAGCACAAGGTGTAAGGGGATCTCACTGGTGTGTTTGAATGTCACTAAGTCACAGTCAGGGGAAGACAAGAAGTGGAACTTGTGGCAGGGACCAGCCTTATTACACTGGCACCTGGTTACCTGGACAGGGTGCCCACTGCCTATTTGTAGGATGTCAAGGTATCAGGAAAATATGAAGTTTTTAAAAATTTACAATATAATGCCAACCTCCTACGGTGATCAGAGGATCAGCTTTGTATTAAAGATGGAAAGATACCAATCATCACCCACAAAACTACTAAAACAGAAAGAATGACAAATACAATTCTCGGCCAGGCACAGTTGCTCACGCCTGTAATCCCTGCACTTTGGGAGGCCGAGGCAGGCAGATCACTTGAGGTCAGGAGTTCAAGACCAGCCTGGCCAACATGGTGAAACCCCCATTCCCTACTAAAATTACAAAAAATTAGCTGGGTGTGGTCGCACGTGCCTGTAATCCCAGCTACTCAGGAGGCTGAGGCAGGAGAATCGCTTATAACCGGGAGGCAGAGGCTGCAGTGAGCCGAGATCCCGCCATTGCACTCCAGCCTGGCGGTAAGAGCGAAACTCCGTCTCAAAAAAATAAAATAAAATAAACTTTTCATTACCTGCCTATAATAATTTCTCAAAAAGAGTCAACTGAGGAGACTTAAAGTGTTCGAAGCATAGCTACTTGTAGGACCAGAGTGAATAATATCCACCTGTATCTTTCCCAGGCCTCATGTTTCCTTTGTTATTTCAAACGTGTGAGTCATGCAAAAGGAATTTTTACTAAAAAGGAAAAGAAAAAAATTTAAAATGACCAGCATAAACATAATTGAGTTCAATCCCCCAGAAAGGGTTATTCGGAGAACAGCCAGGCGCTGCCCTTGTTTTTCCCCCTCCCCATCTGGGGCTAAGACCAAAAGGGGTCTGTCTTTGGAGGGAAATCTGGGTCTGTACAGCTTCCCACTCTAAGGGGAGCCTTAATCCCAGCCGGAACCTGAGCTTCTCCAGGCAAGGCCTGACCTTGCCGACTGATCTAAGCATTCTGCGCTTCATTTTCACCCCAGAAAGGTGACTTCCTCCTGGCTGGGGGGCTCCTCCCCTAGGACTCAGCTCATCCTGAACTAATAACCGCGTTATGTCCATCCTTTGTTCCGTTCTTTGAGTCCCACCCATGTTCTTCAGGAAAGCTGCAGCTGGTCCACGTGCCTTGCCTGTGCTTCTGTAGAACTACCCCTCCCTTCTCTGCCTGCAGCAGGGCTCCTGGAACTTGAATGTGCACTTGAATCTGCAGGTCCTGACTGTAGGTCTGTGTTTCTAACATGCTGCTGGGTGACGCTGTGCCCGTCCTGTGGTCGGCATTGTAACAAGGCTCCGCGGGTTCCCACGCCGGAGTCTGCGTCAGAAACCTCTGGAGGGCTTGTTATACACAGATGGCTGAACCCCATCCCCAGAGTTTCTGATTCCCTAGTACCAGGGTGGGGTCTGAGAATTTGCATTTCTAACAAATTCCCAGGTGATACTGATGCTGCTGGTGCGGAGAGGTCACATGGAAACCACTGCTCGGCAGATGCAAAAGAAGCAGAAGCCGCCCCAACCCTGAAATACTCACAAAGCTGCTGTGGAGACCAGACACCTGCCGGGGGAATGAGAGCCTGGGGATCCTGCCTGGGAGGAAGAGAGAGCTGGGAGCTCTATGGGTGAATGCCAATGGAGGTGCAAGGAGGTGACTAACTCCTGCCGTCTGAAAATAGTGAAGCACAGCCGAGGCCTGAAGCCCACCCTTAGTGAGAGATATAGTTAAACTTGGAAATGGTGCCCAGTCACTTGAAAACAGCACTTCTCAGATTCAGATGTACACATGAACCACCTGAGGATCTTATTAAAATGTGGGTTCTGAGGCTGTAGCTCTGAGGTGAGCTCAGAGATTCTGCAGTTCTAGAAGCTTCCAGGTGATGCAATGCTGCTGGTGCAAGGACCGCTCTCTGAGAAACAAGGACCTAGAGGTCCAGGTCATCTTGGAGAGCTGTTCTAACCCTGGCCAAGAGCTTCGGGAGGCACTGGGGCTCAGGCACCCGGCAGGGGAGTCTTCACTTTCCTTGTCTGAACTCTAAGTGCTGCCTCTCACACACAATTCCCTTGTCTGGACCCAGACAACAGAATCAGTGCAGCGGCTTATCTCAGAACTAAAGACAGTTGACTGCCCCTGGGGAAGGGAGGGCTCTCTCTGAGGAAGTCTCAAACACCCTGCTGCAAAATTTTCACCCTCAGGATCCCCAATTTCCCTGAACCTTAACAGACTTGCTTGTTCTGTAGAAATTGCCTGTAATTTCCAAGATAAAAGGACTAGAAAGGTGGCCTTTTCACCTATGTGGCTTCTCTTTTTTTTTTTTCTTTTGAGATAGGATCTTGCTATATTGCCCAGGCTGGTCTCAAATTCCTGGGCTCAAGCAATCCTCCCATCTCAGCCTCCCAAGTGGCTGAGATGACAGGCACGTGCCACTATGTCTGGCCCTATGTGGCTTCTCCAAGGTGAATATGGGCCTTGTGGGGCTCCAGGTGGCACATGTAAGGTGTGTATAGTAGTTTTGTGTTCAGACTTAAATGAGACTCAAAATTATACTGGGGAATTCTCAGGGGCAGACCCCTCCAAAATCAAAGACCTGTGGGGCAAAGCCCCAGCATCCTGCCCCAATGAGCTGGGGCTGACTCCGACAGCTGCTGCTTCTGGGTCTATCATCTCCTGATGCTTTGACAGGCCAAAGCATTAGCCTCAGGTTAGCCTCTGAGGCCTGTCCTGTCCTATGCAGTCCCAGGCAGTACTGCTCCCTGTGCCTGAGACACTGGCTTCTCCACATAGACCTCAGACACAGAACTGGGGCCACTGCCCTCACTGTGCACTTTAAAGGGTCCTCCTCCAGGCCTCCACTCAGAGCCTACTGTCCCGCTCTTCCTAAACCACATTCCAGGTGCCCAGGGTGTTGGAATTATCTGCCTCAGGGCCCCTGTTGTCCTCCTATCTGTCCTCCTACGAGTGGACCACACCACCAGTATACACAGCTCAATGTCCAAGAGGCAGCCACGACATCACTGTTTGGGTCTGGTGGCTAAGAAGAAACTTGGACATGTAGGCTGGGAGTCCACATCCATGAACTCAAGGCCCCCAGGAGGCACACGATGAATTCGAGTGGGAAGAGAAGGGGGTAGGCCACGGGACAGAGGCCTCCCTCTGGAGTCTTCCTCTAACCGCTGCAAATGTTAGAGGCAGTTCTACCCCCAAAGCTTCTAGGGGAAAGGAGTGAAGGATTTGGCAATAAAGTCCTTAGTTTTTGCAAATGTCTGCAAGTCATAAAAGTGCTTTTAAGTTCTCCACAGGTCAGGACTGGTCATGTTAGGTTCTTACACCTCTCCCATAGTCCCTCCACCCCTAGACATTGGGAGACTCCCAGTCAATTCACCACCCAGGATGGCTGCCCCTCACCTTCTTCCCAGGGCCCCACATCCAATTAATCCAAATACACCCATGTATTCAAGCACCTTTCTGATGAACCTCTAGAAAGTAGCCAGTGCTGCAGAAATTTCTTGTAGCATGTGCTGAAATTTCTAGGATCCTACCAGTCAAAGAACAACAGTCTCCTTGCTTCCACCAGGGAATTTGCTAACACTTGCTTCTAAGATCTGACCTCTCAGAGCCACTGTGGTCCATCAATCAATTCAAAAATTATAGTGGCCTGGGGTTGTGTGGGTGAGGTGGCTGCTTGGGAGGCTGAGGTGGGAGGATGGCTTAAGCCCAGTAGTGCAAGGCTGTTGCAAGCTGTGACCGCACCACTGCACTCCTGCCTGTGCAACAGAGCAAGACACCATCTTTATAAAAACAAACCAGCAGCCAGACGCGGTGGCTGACACCTGTAATCCCAACACTTTGGGAGGCCGAGGTGGGCGGATCACGAGGTGAGGAGTTTGAGACCAGCCTGGCCAATATGGTGAAACCCTGTCTCTCCCAAAAACACAAAAACTATCTGGGTGTGGTGGTGTGTGCCTGTAGTCCCAGCCACTCGGGAGGCTGAGGCAGAAGAATCGCTTGAACCCAGGAGGCGGAGGCTGCAGTGAGCCGAGATCGCGCCACTGCACTCCAGCCTGGGTGACAGAGTGAGACTCTGTCTCAAAACAAAACAAAACAAAACAAAACAAAACACCAGCAAACAAACATTGTGAACTACAATTAAATTTATTTAATCACAGTACTAAATGCTACACAGCAACTGTGTAGAATACTGCATAGCAATGAAAAGCCATGCTTTAAAAGAGTTGTGCCTTACATGAGGAAGTGTGCATAATATAATTTTAATTGAAAATCAGATTGGCAGGATAATCATTTTTTATAAAACAACAACAACAAAAAAACAATGTCCGGGCGCGGTGGCTCACACCTGTAATCCCAGCACTTTGGGAGGCCGAGGCGGGCAGATCAGGAGGTCAGGAGCTCGAGACCATCCTGGCTAACACGGTGAAACCCCGTCTCTACTAAAAATACAAAAAATTAGCCGGGCGTGGTGGCGGGCGCCTGTAGTCCCAGCTACTCGGGAGGCTGAGGCAGGAGAATGGCGTGAACCCGGGAGGCGGAGCTTGCAGTGAGCCGAGATTGTGCCACTGCACTCCAACCTGGGTGACAGAGCGAGACTCCGTCTCAAAAATAAAGTATATATATATATACTGTACAAATACACAGGAAAAAAAATAACAGAAATCTTCAGGCCTTACTGTTAACAGTGGTTATTGCTGGGTGGTGGATAACAGGTGATTTTTTTATTTCCTTCTGTGTTGTTTTTATATTTTCCAAAAAATTTACAGTGTATCAAGTTGACTGGATCAAGGGGTATGTGTTTGCGTGTGAGTGTGTCTATTCTGAGTGTGTCTATGAGGGTGTTTCTGGATAAGGTTAGCATTTGAATCAGTAACCTGAGTGATGAAAATTGTTCTCACCCATGTGGGTGGGCACCACCCGATCTTCTGAGGTCTGAATAGAACAAAAAGGCAGAGGAAGGAGGAGTTCACCCCTTGTTGCCTCCTGCCTGCCTGCTTCAGCTGATGCATCCGTCTCCTCATGCCCTTGGACTGGGATTTACACTGCCACTACCCTGGTTCTCAGGCCTTTGGACTTAGGATGGAAACACAACCCCAGCTTTCCTGAGTCTCCAGCTTGAAGACAGCAGCAGGTCATGGTACTTCAGAGCCTCCATAATTGCATGAGTGAGTTCTTCCTGTATACATGTCCTTCTGGTTCTGTTTCTCCGAGAGGTCTGGCTGATACATACCTGACCAAATATTGCTTTTACAATGAGAAAAAGATTGGTAACTATTATTTTTAATCAGTAAATGGTATGCACCAAACCTGGCCGGTCTGCCTTCAGGGGGGCCTCTCTGTAGCATTTTCTCAGACATAAGTACAACTTTTGAGAGTGTAACATGCCAGGCTCTGTGCCCAACATTTGGCACATATAGCCTTACCTGATCTTCACAACGCTGTCCATTTTAGGAAGCTCACATTCAGAAACGTTTATTCTCTCACTTACCCAGGGTACACAGTATGCTCCCCAAAAGTATATTATGGAAACACATGGCCATTGATTTGTGATGATATTTAAGAGTTTGGTATAGAGGTCCTGAGCCCGGAGTGCTATGGGCACAACTCATGACCTATGTGAATGGTGCCTCCTGGACTTGTGCAGGGCACCAGCTTCAAGGGACTCTGCTGACTCCCAGCAGTACCTGGGGGAATTGTCAGCAATCCTAAAAGCAAGCTCAGCCTGCAAGGCTGCCTACCCCGGACAGATGATGCCCCCTCCAATTGAGCCATGATCCCATAGAGCCGTAGAAAATGGGTCACCTCCTGCAGGAAGCCACCAGGGTGCTTGCATGGCTGGGAACTCTTTTTTCTCTAACTGTCCCAGACCATCTGCTGCTTTCCTCCCTGCTTCCAAAAAAAAAAAAAAAAAAAAAAAAAAAAAAAAAGTCATTCTCTAAATTTTTATGGTGGGCAAAGTTATCAGTTTTCAGTAAGCCCATTCCTTAGCTCCCCTATTTGATCCATCCTCTTCTGGAAACCTTCCAGGACCCCATCTTCATTGCCTTCCTTGCTGGTTACACCATCTGGATCAGTTTTCTAGGGCTGCCATAACCAAGTACCACAGATTGGGTGGTACAACAGAATTCTATTTCTTCACAGTTCTGGAGGCTGGAAGTCCAACATCAAAGTGTCAGCAGGTGTACTTTCTTCTGAGGCCTCTCTCCTGAGCATGTAGATGGCTCTCGCCTCTTTATATCTTCTCATGGTCTTCCCTCTGGGTGTGTCTGTGCCCTAAGCCCCTCTTCTTACAAGGACACCAGTCATATTGGATTAGGGCCCACCCCAATAACTTCACTTAGTGTAACTACCTTTTTAAAAACCCTATCTCCAAATATAGTCATAAGGTGTTAGGGCTTCAATATACACATGGTGGGGGGTGGGAAGATGCAATGCAGCCTATGACATCATCTTTCTAGAAGTGTCATAAGAGTATGTCTGTCACTCTCAACACAGTTCAAAGGCACTCTCAGGACTGTGAGGGCCTTGTGGGGACCCCACATTCACACACTCCCCATGCTTCTCACAATGAAGATGCCACCGTCGGAGTCGCCGTATTCCTCTGCACAGACTGGGTCAGGACCCACCGCTCACCTTAGGATCACCAAGGGTGCCTACCTCATAGCGCCCATGGCAGAGCAAATCGCCGTGTTTCCATTCTGGATATAGCTCCTAAAATCCAGCCACCACACCCCCAAGTCTGGCACAAAGTGAAGAGTTTCATGATCAACCAACGTGGTTTAGTTTGGCTCAGACCTAGGAAGATCTAAAACTTTACGCCGGATCATGTTCCTCCCACACACAAATACACTGCAAACACACCTGGCTTGGAGTTATGCTGATTAGAAGTTAATTAACATAAAGCAGGGAGTGTTGGCTGTAATTCAGTGGCTGCTGCAGCAAGGCTGGCAAGGTCCCCTTCCTGCATGTTGCCCAATTCCAAATGCTGAGCGTGCCCACCACCCTGCGTACCGCGGCTACCCACACATGCAATGTGTCCACTCAGGTTTCTTCATGGCCAAGGCTCACCTTCCTGAGGCCCCCAAGTCTAAGGTCAGGGGAAGCACCACAGAGAGGATCAGAGGATCTCAAAGGCCCAAGTCCTTCCAAATGGGTGACCACTAGCCCTGCCCACTGTCCAGACTCACAGACTGCAGAATCCAATGAGAAGCCTGTAATTTTGATTTTCTTCTTTTCCCTGAATGACTCTGAATCTCCTTTTACCCCAACCCCTGGAGGAGGCCTTTTCTCACCAGCCAATCTGAAAACCCCTTTCTCTACACCGCCTTTCAGTGGAGGAATGACAGGTGCTGGGGTTGCTATTTCTGCCACACAGATAGTAGGGCATTTATTGTGGACCAGACTTGTCCCAAAGGAGGGTTTCCAGTCTCCAATTGGGGTCATCCAAGCATGGCTGTTTCCTGAAGAAATAGCTCTGGACCTTTGATGAACAGAAAAAAGAATGAAGGAATGATTCCATGTGCAATCAAGCTCAGATTCCCCACATAAAGTCTGTCAAAGGCCATTCTTAGCTTGAGAATTTTAAGAGTAAGATTTTTCTCTGCCCCCCAAGGAAAAGGTCCATTGTGGTTCTGCTACACATTTGATTTCTTTTTTTTTTTTTTTTTTTTGAGGCTGGGTCTCACTCTGTCACTCCAGCCGGAGTGCAGTGGTTCGATCATAGCTCACTGCAGCCTTGACCTCTCTGGCTCAAGCGATCTTACCACATCAGCCTTCCTAGTAGCTGGGACCACAAGCATGTGTCTCCATGCCAGGCTATTTTTTAAAAATTTTTTGTAGAGATGGGGTCTCACCATGTTTCCCAGGTCTCGAACTCCTGGGCTCAAGTAGTTCTCCCACCTTGGCCTCCCAAAATGCTGGGATTACAGGTATAAGCCACCACACCCAGCCCACATTTGATTTTGACCAGCCACATTCGAGTTGCCACATTCCCCCAGGCTGCCAGGACATGGAGATGAATCCAACAAACAAACCAGGATGGGCTGTTTGGTTCTGTCCCACCAATTGTGGAAAATGCGAGCAAAAAAACCACCATCTTGCTCCTGACATAATCACCCCGAAGAGTAAGTAATTGGACAAAAAAAACATTGTTAAATTAGGCTTCTCCCAGTTCCCAAAAGTAAAACCACAATATAAAATGGCAGAGTATTTGTGTCCTCCAAGGTGAGGGGCAACCTTCATTATAAAACCACACCGACCAGACAATATTATTCAGTAATAAAAAGGTATAAAGGACCGTTACATGCTACAACATGGATGAACCCTGAAAACATTATGCTGAGTGAAAGAAACCAGTCACAAAAGACCACATAGGATGTGGTTTCATTTATGTAAAATGTCCAGAAAGGGCAAATCTGTAGAAGCAAACTGTGGATTAGTGGTTGCCGGGGGTTGGAGGGAGGTGGAGGATGGGAACTGCCTACTAGTGGGTACAGGGTTTCTGTCTGGTGTGATAAAATGTGCTGGAATTAAATGGTAGCAAATCAATGAATAACTTTCTGACTATTCCAAATATCCCTGAGTGTACACCTTGAAATGGCGAATCTCATGTTACGGGAATTACCCCAATGGTGCTATTTTTTTCAGTTTTATTTTTGTTTCTATTTGTTTATTTATTTATTTTGAGACAGAGTTTCACTCTGTTGCCCAGGCTGGAGTGCCGTGGCACGATCTCGGCTCACTGCAACCTCTGCCTCCCGGGTTCAAGCGATTCTCCTGTCTAAGCCTCCTGAGTAGTTGGGAGTACAGGCTTGTGCCACTACGCCCAGCTAATTTTTGTATTTTAGTAGAGACAGGGTTTCACCATGTTGGCCAGGCTGGTCTCAAACTCCTGATCTCTGGTGGTCCACCCGCCTCGGCCTCCCAAAGTGTTGGGATTACAGGTGTGAGCCTCTGCACCTGGCCGATGATGCTCTTTTTTTTTTTTAAAGCACAGAATTGCCTACCTAAGCACAGAGGTGATGAGAGGGTAGGGGGAGGTTTAGGTAGTTGATTAAGGTTTAATCTGTTGTAAGAACATTTCTGCCCACTTGTTTTTCTCACGAGTGTTCCAGAAAACAGTCTATAGAGAAGCACTAATAGCTTTAGGTCTAGCACATTTCTAGACACTTGGTCCTAAGCCTTTTCTGGTTACAAAATCAAAGGCTAAATCAATGAAAGCTGAAAAATGAAATACAACATTCTCGACCTTTAAGAAGGTAAGAAAAGTGAAAAGGAACACAGTAATGTTTAATTATGGAGCAGCTGAGTTTAAAACCTGCTTGCCCCTGCTGTGATATGTAATTTACAAGGCCTGCTGGTATCAAGAGCTGATGGGATTGTTACCAGGCGAATAGGCCCTTTGCCCATACGCGGCAGAAATGTGGTCCCCTTTATTCTACCTAAAGTACTAAAGTTTCCTCAAGAAAAACCTCTGGACCTTTGGTGAACTAATAAATGCTCAGGGTCTGGGAAGTGGCTTCATGCACCCGTTTTTGTGACAAGTTTAGTGACTGCCTTTTCTACTAGGTTATAAATTACTTCTCATATAGACTATTTCTTTTTTTTATTTTTTGTTATTTTACTTTAAGTTCTGGGATACATGTGCAGAATGTGCAGGTTTGTTACATAGGTATACATGCCCCATGGTGGTTTGCCGCACCCATCAACCCGTCATCTAGGTCTTAAGCCCCACATACCTTATGTATTTGTCCTAATGCTCTCCCTCCCCTTGCCTCCCACCCCCAAACAGGCCCCTGTGTGTGATGTTCCCCTCCCTGTGTCCGTGGGTTCTCATTGTTCAACTCCCACTTGTGAGTGAGAACATGCGGTGTTTGGTTTTCTGTTCCCGTGTTAGTTTGGTGAGGATGATGCCTTCCAGCTTCATTCGTGTCCCTGCAAAGGACATGATCTCATTCTTCATGGCTGCATAGTATTCCATGGTGTATATGTGCCACATTTTCTTTGTCCAGTCTACTTCTCATACAGACTATTTCTACGCCTTTCATTCACCTGGTGGAAACTCTATCCTTTTTCCTGAAGTTGGCATTTCTCCTGACATCTCAATCTGCCCAGTTGCTCCTTCTCTACCTCACAGGAAAGTTATGCTGATGAGTAAGGACACACCCTTCTCACACACTGAGCTGTTTTGGCAAGACTAGGTGGTGTGAATATCAGGCCTTGTGACGGGGCGGGGGACCTTGCTGGAGCCTCAGCTTCTTCACTGCCCACATTGCGTCTCTGTCTTACTCACTTGACCTGTTGGCTCTGTTCAGAGGTCTTGCTTGATCCTTTAAGACCCAGATGTCCCTTCTGAGTCATCGTGTGGCATTTGGCCTTGTCTTCCCCGGCCTGCATTTACACCCAATCCTCCTTCCCTGTGTGTCATCACACACCTGCGTAGCACTTGCAGTTGGAGTCGGGAGAGCAGAGAAGATGGAAGAGAGGCATTGGTTCATGTCCAGTTGGAAAATCAGTAATGTTTCCATGTGGCAGCTGAAGTGGAGGGGAGAGAACACTCAGTCAACCCTTCAAATCAAGGACCTCCATGGTGGAGGTGGGTGTGGTCTACAAAGAAGCATGCCCCTGTGCTGAAGGGATCACTCCCCTCCTGCCCCGCAGTAATTACCATTATCCAGGGATGGAAAGGAGAACGTGTGGTTGAGGAAATGTTAGCTCTTTTCCTCCTTTTCCTGGACCACAAAGCTAAGCTGGATAGAAAAGCTTGCAGGGCAGAAACAGTTGTAAAAGACATCCATGGGGACACCCTAGATGTCAGCTGTTCCCATTCTGTTCCTTCCTCCCCACCCCACTCTCTTTGGCAAGCCAGTCCTCCACTGGGGCACCTGTAATGAGTTACTCCCTGCTGCACGGCCTCACTTCTCTCCAAGAACTAGCCTCATCATTCGGACTCATCATGAATCCATACCTTAGAGCCTCTTGAGCCACCTCTAGGGTGCTTAACAATCCTCTGTTTATGTTGTTCCCTCCACCTAGAACATCTTTCCTGCTCCCTATCTCCAAGTGGCAAACTCTTAATGTATACATCAAGACCCAGCAGGGGCCAGGCATGGTGGCTCATGTCTGTAATCCCAGCACTTTGGGAGGCCGAGGCTGGTGGATCACCTGAGGTCAGGAGTTCGAGACCAGCCTGGCCAACATGGTGAAACCCTGTCTCTACTAAAAATAGAAAAATTAGCCAGGTGTGGTGGCACATGCCTGTAATCCCAGCTACTTGGGAGGTTGAGACAGGAGAATGGCTGGAACCAGGGAGACGGAGGTAGCAGTGAGCCAAGATCGTGCCACTGCACTCCAGCCTAGGCGACAGAGAGAGATTCCATCTCAAAAAAAAAAGAAAAAAAGACCCAACTGAAATCTGAAATGTCAGTCTGATGAAGCCTATGAATCCTGCTCAGTATAATGTTTTAAATGCATAAAATAAGATACATGGGTTATAAAATAAACTGATTAAACTAAAATATAGTTATCAAAATATGTTAATACTCATTAAACTTAAATATCTAAAAACTCACTGAATAAGATCTAGTGGTGAGCCTAATAACAAACATAATTTAACAGTGATATGTGTAAAGGACATTTTGAGATTTGTTACACCTGGAATTAGGTTGACCAACTTGTCCTGGCTTGTACCATACTTTCCCAGTTTAGCACTGAAAATCCTGTGTCCTGGAAATTCCCTCTGTCCCTGGCAAACTGGCACTTGAGAACCCTGTGTCCTGGAGAACCCCTCAGTCCCTGGCGAACTGGGGCAGTTGGTCACCCTACCTGTAATGTGGCATGAAAGCATCTGTGATTGTTAGTGGTGTTATAATCACAGGTACAGCTAATGCTACTGTGAGTTGCTACCTGCATTCTTCATGGAGGAAAAGCTCTATTTCAGGTAGAGGTGAGTGAAAATAAAGATGTGTTGGTTTTTCCCATCCAAGTTCATGTATTTTCCAATTTCTCTCCGTGGACAGCCCCCTTCCAGTTAAGAACCCCTGCAATTGGTAGGACAGAGTTAGGTCTACTCTCCCCTAATATTCATACTTTGTTCTTAGCTCTACAATAATTTACCAAACGCTGTAATTGTTTGTTTAAACAACACAACAAAAATTCTCCATTAAGCACCTTTCTTACAGGGTTGTGGGAGAATTAAAAGAAATGTATACAGGAGAGCTGGCATGAAGCAGGTCATTGTGATACAACCAGAGCCCTCTTGCATGGTTGAATCTAAATTGGTTGAAAAATTTTGGAAAACTGGCAGGTTCTACTAAAGCTGAACATGCCCCTATCCTATCACCCAGCATTTTGACTACTGAGTATTTCCCCAACAAAAATGAGAGCTTATAGTCATCAAGAGACATGCCTAAGAATTTTCCTAGCAACTGTATTCCAATAGCCCCAAACAAAGGATAACCCCAGTGTCCATGAGAGAAGAACAGATCAAGAAGTTGTGATCTATTTAAACAACCATATACCATACAGGAATGAGAATTCACAAATAATATCTCAGCCAGGTTTGGTGGCACACACTTGTAATCTAGCACTTTGGGAGGCTGAGGCTGGAGGATCCCTTGAGGCTAGAAGTTCAAGACTAGCCTAGGCAGCATGACAAGATCTCGCTTCTACCAAATGAAAAAAAAATTAGCCACCATGGTGGTGTGTGCCTGTAGTCATAGCTATTTGGGAGGCCGAGGCAGGAGGATCACTTGAGCCCAGGAATTTGAGGCTGCAGTGAGCCATGATGGCACCACTGCACTCCAGTCTGGGTAAGAGAACGAGACCCTGTCTCTAAAAATTAAAAAGCAATTTAAAAAACAATAATAACATATCTAGGGAACAATATTAATAAATCTCACAAGCATAATTTTGAACAAAATTACAGTTACAAAACAATGCATATTGCATGATTCCATTTGTATAAAAGAAGGGTGAAACACCAGCCTGGAAGCTAGAAGTCAAGGTAGTGGTTACTGCTGAAGGGGGTGGGAATATTCTGCTGGTTACCTAAGGGTATTGAGTTCGTGAAATCTACTGAATGGTGTACTTATGGCACGTGCATTTTTCTATATTATGTTATACTTCAACAAAAGCATTCAATATGTTGGGTCCTCATTCCCACCTCTTGCCAGATCCCACCTGCAGCCACCACCACCAAGAAGTGACCTCTCCCTGCATTTTCCACTTGGGTTGGCTCTGCGACTTGGCAAAGACTTTTCCCTGCTGAATCCATCCCTCTCTCCACAGTGCTTTGAACTTCCTCCTGGACAAGGGCAACCACAGCCTCTGGCACTAACCTCTTAAGTTGCCTTCACAACCATCAATGCTTCATTAGTATTTCTGGCAGGCTGGTAATTAACATGTTAGCACATACCTGTGTATTCAAAGCAGCTTTTGGGCCCGAGCTTACTATCCTTTACACTATTTCAGGGAAGGATTTGTATTGAATTCTGTGGTTTCAACTGTGCCAAGCAGCAATTGATAATCTTTCATCCGCAGCAGCTGTAACAATGATGGGAGCAGCAGGCATGATACCCCTGCACAGATGAGAAAACTCATCCTCAGTGTGAACTTATGTCACCCCAAAGATGCCCAGCAAATATACCATTTATTGTCTGAGGTGGAAATCACCCTCCATGAGAGAGAAGGCCAAAGCTCCCCTGTAATCGATGATGACTAAGCCCTGCAAAGCCGAGAATGGCAGGCTGGGGATTAGAACTCATGTCTTTGGCTCATGTCCACTCTCTGTGCAGCGCCCTGCCCTCACCCCCCTCCCCCGAGAACGAACACCACCCCTGGGCAACCCAGGTGTCCCCACTCTGACACAGTAAAAGCTGGACCGTCATCTGGTCCAGGTAGCCTCGTCCTGGGGGAGGCCTTTCTCCATTTGGACATTTTCCTGTGTATTTAGGGAGAGTGACAAACTGCAGACCAACTTATCAGGTTAATTATGCTTTTAAAAACATCGCAGACGAGGAGCAAAGTGATGGGGAGGCTAAATGAGGAACTCGGTGGTGGCTGAGTCTGGCATTCTTTGCCCTTCTTTGGGTCTGCAGGTGGGAGTTTCTGCCCTTTCCTGGGCCTCTCCTTTCTGGACAACCCGAGAGACAGATCACCTTAAAACACAGCCTTCATCCTGTACCTGCCCTAAGCCTTCAGTGGCTCCCCATCTTCTACCTTCTCACCTACAAACATCCTGTCCCACATACACTGGGTGATTCCCGCACGAGAGGAAGAACTGCTTCAGTGGTCCCGGCTGAGCCAGAAGGACCACTGCTCTTCCTCATCTCCCACCCTTCCTCACCTCCCTCCCATCCTCCCCATACTCCACCCCAATCCCTGCCCTGAGTCAATTGCTCACAGCCAAGTTCCAAACACTAACTGCACTCTGACCGGGAAGGGCAGAGAACTGCAGGGGAAATGATCCATGGATTAGCACAGCATTTGCTTCTCCAAGCTGTGGCCACCCTCTGGGCTCATTTTCTGCTTCTAAACAACTCTATACCACAGAATCTCAACTACCACCATGACGGGTCTTCAACATGCTGCCCTTGATTTAAAAGACAACCGCAACAACTGTAAAACTGTCTCCCTTATCCCTGTAAAATTTGCTCTTGCTGCTTTTGTGTATTCCAACCAACTGCGATGTGGACCGTCACCGATCAACAAGGGATAAAGGGAATCTAGATGCATCTAGATTCCAGGCACTGTGCTAGGTGCCAGGCAAACACATGTGAATGAAACACAGTCCTTCAACTTCTATGAGCTCAGCAGAATGTGTGAATGGGAGGCTCCGGTGACTACAGTAATAGGCTCTGTGCCAAGTGGCAAAGGAACCACATGGAGACTCGCGGCTGGGTTTGGGAGCAGAAGAGTGGGCAAACCGTAAAGGAGGGTGAATTTAAGATTTTAAAAAAGCCATAGTCCAAATTCTAAAATAGTAAAAGCTGAAAAATAGGCATATTCTATGACCCAGCAAATCTACTCCTGAGTATATATTCAACAGAAATATGGGCACCAAGAAGAACATGCAGGAATATTCATGACAACACTATTCATAAGATCCCAAATGAGAAACCGCCCAAATGTCCATCAACAGGGAAATGGATAAGTAGGTTGTGGAATATTCTTACAATGGAATGAATGATCTATAACTACACACAATGTGGGTGAACCTCAAATACGTAATTCGAGCAAAACACAGACACAGAAGATTATATTCTATATAATTCTATGTATATGAAATACAAAACCAGGCAAAACTAATCTATGGCATGGGACTCAGAAAAGTGGTCAGCATAGGGGAGGGAATTGTGGCGTGAAGAGGCCATGAGGAGCTTGGAGTGTGCTGTCATGCTCAGTTTCCTAATCTAGGTGCAGGTTACAATGGTGTATTTGGTTTGTAAAAATACATAATGCTGGGCCGGGTGTGGTGGCTCATGCCTGTAATCCCAGCACTTTGGGAGGCCGAGGCGGGTGGATCACGAGATCAGGAGATCCAGACCATCCTGGCTAACACGGTGAAACCCCATCTCTACTAAAAATACAAAAAATTGGCCGAGTGTGGTAGCCCATGCCTGTGGTCTCAGCTACTCGGGAGGCTGAGGCAGGAGAATCGCTTGAACCTGGAAGCCGGGGGTTGCAGTGAGCCGAGATGGCGCCACCGCACTCCAGCCTGGGTGACAGAGTGAGACTCCATCTAAAAAAAAAAAAAAACCATAATGCTGGACATTGCAAATATGTGCACCTTTGTGTGGATCTCAGACTTGAATAAAAAGAAAAAATTAAGTATGTCTATTGTCTTAGTCCATTCAGGTTGCTATAATAAAATATCATAAACTGGGTGGCTTATAAACACCACACATTTATTTCTCACTGTTCTGGAGGCTGGCAAGTCCAAGATCAAGGTGCCAGCAGATTGGGTGTCTGGTGAGAACCCACTTTGTGGTTCATAGATGGCCATCTTTCACTGTGTGCCCACATGGCAGAAGGGACAAGGGAGTACTCTCAGGCCTCTATTATAAGGGCACTAATCCCAATCATAAGGGCTTCACCCATATGACCTAATCACCTCCCAAAGATCCACCTCCATTACCATTACCTCGGGGGTGAGAATTTCAACATATGAGTTGTTGAGGGACACAAGCATTCAGACTGTAACAGCTGTTTAGGTAGCTACACAGCTAAATAAGTATTATTTTCCAAATCACATTTCAGCGATTTCTCTACCATTAGGCCATGGGCCAGCAATGGAACCTGGCTTATCCTTCTTGTGTTCTTCTTTTCCTGGCACAAATATGGTTGGTAATCTTGCCAAACAGTAATCTCCCTGGTATAGTTAATTTGGCCTGCTAGGTTATATCCAAACGATCACTGTATTCACCTATAAATGCTCTCAAACTGGTCCAAGGTCTAATCAAAGCTGGAAATTGATCAAATAATGACCCATTCATGCATTCTAGAATTCAGCCATTCCCTGTTGCGTTTTTAGAAACTGGCATAATTTTCTATTATTTACGCGATCTAGAGAACTATGTCATAGACCCCTGCATCATAGAACACCCAGATCTGTGGTCTCCATCTCATTCTTCCTGCTTTCTCAAAGATGATCTACACACAGTTCTATTTCCCAGACTATATAATATAATCCACTTTATGTAACATAGTGTAATTCACTTGGCCCTGGTCTCTCAGTTCTTTTGAAGAAATGAATGTTCTCACACTAATTCCTTGGTCTGTTTGTCGATCTTTACAGGCAGGGAGGGAGGATGCGAGGCAGCATTGGGTCGGCTCCACATTCTCCACATCTGCTTATTGTTTTCTTGCCTTGTTTGCAGCTTCCAGAGCTCCTCCCTGCTTCTGTAGCAATTTCAGTCTTCCCCATTCCTCTGTGCCTTTGTAAACAGCCTTTTGTTCACTAACAAGAGGAATCTGCTGCCACGTCAGCTCTAAACCAACCTCCCACCATTCTCTGGGTAAAGTCCTGCTTAGAAAGGGAATAGGAAGAAGAGGGGTGGAGGGGGTTGGAGATGATTGTGTCTAGTGGGAACAGGCAGGGGGATAGTGCACAGAGTTCACAATGGGACAACGAGCCTGCCGAGGCTGCACTGCCGGCCTGGCTGGGTGACCTTGAGCCTATCTGGGCCTGTGAGCTCACCATGCAAAGGAGCTGGACCACAGAATTCTGAGTCCTTTCTAGCTCTAAACACTGTGGCCCTAAGTATCTATATGTGAAACAAAATTGTCCTGACATTTGTCTCTGGGTACTGAACTATTAGGAGATTTTGATTTTTTCATCTCCATTTTGCAAACAGTCTGTACTAAGATTACACTACTGTGTTTCTGTTTTGTGTGTATTCAGAAGCACAAAAAGTCTGTGGTTCTAGAAAGGAAATAGAAAAGTTCTTAAAAAAAAAAAAGTGGGGAAGTGAAACAAATGTTAAAGTCAGAGGAGAAAGAAAGGCCCAACCGGAGGCCCCAAATCCACCCAGAGCCCAGAAGCCCGGGTTTCCCACCGACCGGCTGCGGTCTTTGTCAGCTCTCTGGCGCTATCTGCTGTCCTTCTCGATAACAACCGTTTAATTTGGTTTGCAAAATTGCTCTGACGCAAATCCACCGTGAACACTGACGGGGTCACATTCAGCATAAAAATCGCATTCTGTTTACAGGAAAATCTGGCCCCATACTTGCTCCCATATTCACTTTTGACTTTGCCTTGCAGTACTAACTGTAACAGGGACACCTGAGCAAGTCCCTTCTGTATAAGGCCCAAAATGGTCACCCAATACCAATGAGTCTCTTGCTTTGGAAAGCCCAGGAATGCACCTCCAGCCCCTTCTGCGCAGCGCTCGGACACCATGTAGAGGAGAAGGCACTCTGCAGAACTCGCCCTCAGCCCGCACCACCTGTCCAGGGGACTGGCTGCGTGTCAATGTGTCTCTGCTCCCGGGGTTCCCGCAGATCTTTAACTTATTGGCCTTTGGGCTAATTCAGTCCTTCAAGCATTCCTCGCCCAACATGCCAGGAAGTCTTCTCACGTGTCTTCCACCCCATACCTACCAGTTCTGTTTTCCCACTACCCGATGAAAGTGTAACCGCCCCCCGGCGCCCCCCCCCCCCACCACCACACACACACCCTGTTGGTCCCATCCTCAGGGCGTGGTGGTCCAGGTGAACGCTTGCCCTCTTTTTGAGCTGAACCTCCCCACAGAGGCTGTCAGCAAAGACTGCTTTGCTGTCCAAGGCCGGCCTTTAGGTACAGGACACTATGCATGTCCAGCGAGGCTTGTTGAAGCCACATCTGTCATAGATATTGATGGGAAAAGCATTTTCCTTCTAACACATCTCATTCCAATTCTAAAAGGCACCTCTGAAGCCTTGCTGAACTTCATCAAGATTTTCACGTGGTTTCCTTAGTAAAGTGTGATGAGAAGGTCCATCCTTCTCAGGATGAAGGAGTGGTCCAGGAAGCCCTGATTGGTCTGCCGGGGAGGGAAGGGCTGCCTTATTTGGAGACCTGCAGGAATGCCACCTCCCCCGGCAGCTCCTATATAGCTGGGCGGACCTGGCTGCCAAGAGGGTGTGCTGGGGGACTGTGCAGCTCGAGGCTCCAGAGGCACACTCCAGAGAGAGCCAAGGTACGTGGGGGGCCACTTCTGTGGTCAGGACTGCTGGTTTCTTATCAAGGCTCGATCCCAGATTGAAAATCATGCAATGATTTCTTTACTCCCACACCTGGGGATGGGTCCCAAGTTCAGGGTAGACTTGCGAGGATACCCAGTCATCACTGGGCTTGCCTTTCTCTAAGTTGGTGCTATAATAAAATGCTACTTTAGGGTTTGTGGGTTGGGATTTTGTTTTGCCTTTAAGCTTCTGCCTATGAAAACTAATCTCTTTCTCAAGAATGCTGTGCTTTTATTTTTTTTATTTGACTCACCTGAAATGATCTATTATGCCATTAATCTTATTTAAGATTTCTCCTTAAAAAAGGAATGATGTGGAGTATGGCCCTATTTAGGAGACTAATGAATATTTGCTTCATGCTTGGATCTCTTTGGAGAAAGTCAGTCTGAGTTCACTGTGCTCAGGAGGCAGAGAGAGTGGGGTGAGGGGGTCCAGATGCTCATAGCCACCCTGGGACAAAGACGAGGCGATGTCTACAAGCAAGGAAAGGTCAGTGAGGCCTCTTTGCAGGCTTCTAGAGATGACTGGATGTGCTTCTAGAGATCACTTCAGCTGTGTTTTGCCTTTTTTTTTTAATATAAGGAGCAATGTGGCATCAGAGTTGAACATTTTATCAGAGGAACATTAGCCACTTTTAGGGAAGCTGCAGCAGGGTGGTGGAGGGTGTGTGAGGGGCGAAACAAGCTCCCTGTCAGCCTCCTCCAGCTCTGGGGCCCCATGGCCTCACAGTAAGTCTTTGCCTAGGAGACAGCTTAGGCAAGCTCCGGTATGGGAACTCCTTCCATTTCCCTAATCCACACAGGCAAAGACCCAGGTGCTAGAATGCCCTGACAGTCGGCCTTGGGAAGTGGATTTCCTTGATGGCTATTGTAGATTCAGGAGCCGAATGTGACAGGCAACCTTAAGGTGTGGGGTGAGGGGCTTTTCCATGACATCAGTGGCAGCCCTTCGGATGTCCCAGGGCCACCTTGACCCGGGACCCTCCTGGTGTTCCCCCAGGCCCTCCTGTCTTCCCTTTCATCTCGTTTTCTCCGAAATTCCTCAAGGGCCCTGCCCTTTGCCCTTTGCCCAGCTCAGGGGGCATCATACCCAGTGAGTGAAAAGCACAGTGTGTGAGCACTGTCTTCTCCTGAAACCCAGATGGGCAGTGGGGCATGGCTAGTGGACACATGCAGTGCAGCATTAGACAGAGCCCAGTGCAGGTCTGCCACCTCCCCGCTGTGCAGCCTTGGGCAAATTACTTAACTTCTCTGAATCCCAGGACAACATTTATAACATGGGGATAATAATGTACCTACTCTATGTGAGAATTAAGTTAGGCAATGTCAGAGAAGAGCTTAACACGGTGGCAGGCATGAAGAAAGTATGCAATAAAAAGCCAGTAGGATAAGCAGATGGTCACACTGTCCCCCAGGGGTGAGATTGGAAAGGATGCCTGGAGCACACTTGACCCCTGGACATAGGGGAGGCAGGGGTCCCTTTGCTACGTTTCCATCTTTCCCTTCCTTCCTCCTCCTCTCTCTCTCATTACTGCAAAGCCCTTTAGGATCAGCAGCCAGTGAATTCCTCAGAATGGATGGCAGAATGCCCCCAAGACAGTGCCAGCTCAGAGCAATAAAGAACAAAGAGGGGAGATTGAAAGTACAATCTAAAGTCGGCACAGTGGCTCGTGCCTGTAATCTCAGCACTTTGGGAGGCTGAGGTGGGAGGATCACTTGAGCCTGGGCAACATAGTGAGACCCCGTTTCTACAACATGTATTTAAAAATTAGCTGGGTGTGGTAGTGTGTGCCTGTAGTCCCAGCTACTCCGGAGGCTGAGGCAAGAGGATTGCTTGAGCCCAGGAGTTCAGGGCTGCAATGAGCTATGATCATGCCACTGCACTCCAGCCTGGGCAACAGAGTGAGATCCTGTCTCTAAAATATGTGTGTGTGTGTGTGTGTGTGTGTGTGTGTGTGTGTATGTGTGTGTGTCTGTACATATACGTATATATATATGTGTGTATATATACATATATGTGTGTATATATGTATATATGTGTGTGTATATACGTGTATATATACATATATATGTGTATATATATACGTGTATACACACACACACACACACACACATATAGTCCATGCCCACCAGCATTTGATTCCAACTCTTCTATTGTATTTTCCTCCCAGGGATTTCTTGATTTGAAAGACTTGGGAGTATCAAAGAAAACCTACATGTATTAAGTCACCACTCCTTTATTTTCCCATGCGTATTCAAAGCCACTATAATTGCCCTTTGCCATTCTTACCTGTCTCGGAAACCGGGACCAGAGCCCTGAGTGAATGTAATCCTAGCAATAGCAAAGGAGCTCGGTGTTTGAGTTAACCCTGCACAACCCAAACATGGGGAAACAATTATGCTTTTGAGACCACATAAATAGCACAAGGATGCGATTCCTTCCTTAAAATCTCCTGCACTTGGGAGGGGGCAGGGGAGCCCAGGCAGGCCTGGTGGGGAGCTGACCCACCGCCGTTTCTCTGGCAGGTTCTGACGCGATGAGGAAGCACCTGAGCTGGTGGTGGCTGGCCACTGTCTGCATGCTGCTCTTCAGCCACCTCTCTGCGGTCCAGACGAGGGGCATCAAGCACAGAATCAAGTGGAACCGGAAGGCCCTGCCCAGCACTGCCCAGATCACTGAGGCCCAGGTGGCTGAGAACCGCCCGGGAGCCTTCATCAAGCAAGGCCGCAAGCTCGACATTGACTTCGGAGCCGAGGGCAACAGGTACTACGAGGCCAACTACTGGCAGTTCCCCGATGGCATCCACTACAACGGCTGCTCTGAGGCTAATGTGACCAAGGAGGCATTTGTCACCGGCTGCATCAATGCCACCCAGGCGGCGAACCAGGGGGAGTTCCAGAAGCCAGACAACAAGCTCCACCAGCAGGTGCTCTGGCGGCTGGTCCAGGAGCTCTGCTCCCTCAAGCATTGCGAGTTTTGGTTGGAGAGGGGCGCAGGACTTCGGGTCACCATGCACCAGCCAGTGCTCCTCTGCCTTCTGGCTTTGATCTGGCTCACGGTGAAATAAGCTTGCCAGGAGGCTGGCAGTACAGAGTGCAGCAGCGAGCAAATCCTGGCAAGTGACCCAGCTCTTCTCCCCCAAACCCACGCGTGTTCTGAAGGTGCCCAGGAGCGGCGATGCACTCGCACTGCAAATGCCGCTCTCACGTATGCGCCCTGGTATGTGCCTGCGTTCTGATAGATGGGGGACTGTGGCTTCTCCGTCACTCCATTCTCAGCCCCTAGCAGAGCGTCTGGCACACTAGATTAGTAGTAAATGCTTGATGAGAAGAACACATCAGGCACTGCGCCACCTGCTTCACAGTACTTCCCAACAACTCTTAGAGGTAGGTGTATTCCCGTTTTACAGATAAGGAAACTGAGGCCCAGAGAGCTGAAGTACTGCACCCAGCATCACCAGCTAGAAAGTGGCAGAGCCAGGATTCAACCCTGGCTTGTCTAACCCCAGGTTTTCTGCTCTGTCCAATTCCAGAGCTGTCTGGTGATCACTTTATGTCTCACAGGGACCCACATCCAAACATGTATCTCTAATGAAATTGTGAAAGCTCCATGTTTAGAAATAAATGAAAACACCTGAGCTGGTGGCTGTGTACTTTGACTGGTACATGGAGGCTATTTTAATCCTTCTAACTAAACTAAAATAGATTAAAGGAATTAAACTAAAATACAAGTAAAGCTAGACAAAGGCCCAGAAATCATACTGTAAGGAAATGTTATTGGAAGCTGATTCCCAGAGCAGACCACATATACAGCAGGATGTGCCTGTGGCATGAAGATTTTCTTTCTCTTTTTTTTTTTTTTTTAGATGGAGTTTTACTCTTGTTGCCCAGGCTGGAGTGCAACGGCATGATTTTGGCTCACTGCAGCCTCTGCCTCCCAGGCTCAAGCACTTTTCCTGTCTCAGCCTTCCGAGTAGCTGGGATTACAGGTGTGTGCCATCATGCCTGACTAATTTTGTATTTTTAGTAGAGACAGGGTTTCACCATGTTGGCCAGGCTGGTCTTGAACTCCTGACCTCAGGTGATCCACCCACCTGGGCCTCCCATAGTGCTGGGATTCAATTTTTTTTTTTTTTTTTTCAAAAGAAGGGTAAGTGCTTGCTGTTCCCATCCCTGAAACATTGCATGTATTTAAGAAAAACAAAATGTTAGTGGCATATTTGCTTCTAATGTTCCCCTAACCCTACATGCATGTTTTATGTGCACTCATATGAGTATCTTTAAATATAATCCCTTTACATCTGTGTTCTATGCAAAGTCTCTCATTTCTTTCAAGACAGCCTAATGAAGGCCATCATCTCTGTAAACCACTTGTCACTACAAAAATACAATTACTCACCAAAAAGCTTTAAAAAATAAAGCTGTGTCTTTAGGGAGACCCAATAAAGAATGCAATCCATGCCATAAGCAGGAGTTGATACACCACCTTATTAGCTAAAAATATATATAACACAATATGAGTAATGTTTAAGATCTGTTTTAAATTTAAAACAATGAATTGAATGCTCTAAGAGGCTCCTACAGGCGCTCCAGGCCACTCTCAGAGACTCCCAGGAGTTGTTGAACTATATTTGGAGAAAACAGCCACTGAATATTATCATTTCTCCTTTAAAGAGAGTTTGTAAGGGGGGAACATGCATTTTATCAGACAATTTATCCAAAGCATTGCAGAACATGAGTGCTGATGAGGGCACCTCTTGTGCTGAGTCCCCTCAGCTATCAGTGTTCTTCTCAAGGACACATTTGGAAGGTTTTAACATTGAAAGTGAGCGGAGGACTTGGGGGCAGAGCAGCACAAAGAAACAGCCTTACACTGGGCACATGGAGGAGACGTCCACCCTGCAGCCAGGACTGGGGTTCACGTCACTGCCAGAGCTACACTCGCCTTCTGCTTCCACGGTCCTGTTAATTCTAGATCAGAGAGCAAGAAAAAAGTACAGAACATATCCTCTACGGTTATTTCCTGCTTTCTAATTAAAAAAATAATAACCATGGCAAGAGAGAAAGAAAGAGAAAGTACTCAGAGGCTGACACTGACATTTCACTTCCTCGCTCTCCTAAGTTTAATTACAACAGCACGTGCAGCCACGTCAGCCAAATGACTTCATTTCTGATGTGAAAACGCTTAGGCCATGATGTCGTTCATTTTCTGTAATTGCTGCCTTTTCTCATTCTGTTAATAGTCCCGGCAACCAGATTTCAGTGGGGCATGACGTGAATGTGTATATGGTGATTCAAATGCAAAATTTGTTTATGGGGCTTTTAATCGAACGCGTGTGTGCCTGAACATTCTTGCTCAAGTTGATGAATCATGGGGTGGAATAAAGGCTGAGTTTAGTTTTTCACTTTAGCAAAGGGGCAATGGGGTGCCTACTATGTGCGAGACATTGGGAGGGGCTTCTGAATTATTCTGGATATCGTCATTTTGCAGTGTGCATAATTTTGCCAACCGTTGCTTTCGTAGCCCCTGCTAAGTGTTGACTTTTTAAAATATAAGTTTATTGTAAAAGTGACATGAAAATTACAACAGATATTCCAGACCAAAATAATACAACAATCCCAGCATCTGATTGAGTCAGTGTTTGCTGTTTCCCCTGCACTTTCCTAGTTCTTAAGCATTTGCGTATGTAAACATTCATATTTGCAATAAAAAAGTGAGCTTTTATATTCTAAATTTTTACTTAACTTAATTCAATGCTTTCTACTCATTTTTCTATACTTTTTTTTTTGAGGCAGAGTCTCATTCTGTTGCCCAGGCTGGAGTGCAGTGGCGTGATCTTGGCTCACTACAACCTCCACCTTCCAGGCTTAAGCGATTCTCATGCCTCATCCTCCCAAGTAGGTGGGATTACAGGTGCCCACCACCAAGCCCTGCAAATTTTTTTGTATTTTTAGTAGAGACAGTGTTTTGCCATGTTGGCCAGGCTGGTCTCGAACTCCTGACATCAGGTGATCCACCTGCCTCGGCCTCCCAAAGTGCTGGGATTACAGGTGTGAGCCACCACGCCCTGCCTACTCTTTGTTTTCTTTCCTCCCCACCCATTTTCCCCCGTCCTGTCCCCTCCTTCCAGCCTGAGATGTAGGCTCCACCTTAACTGTGCTCAGATACACAAGTGAGGGCTTTTTAACTTGATTATGCCTTTTAAAAATACTATGTATGTAAAATATTTATTCATCTGCAATTTGGCTTCCCTAACTTAACATTGCATCATGAAACTCTTTGGAACAACAGCTATCTAGATAGCTGACTCATTCTTTTGGATTGCTACGTAATCTCACTTAATACAGATGTATCATGATTGATTGAATCATTGCCTTGTTGATGGGCCTTCAGATTATTTCCAGTTTTTTGCCACTGCAAACAATAAACATCCTTGTACATACTACATTGCAGTCTGGTACTTCTGTTTCTGTGGAATAGATTCACACGTGCAAAATTTCTGGAACAAAGCCTGTGTGTAATTTAAATTTTACCAGCCATGACCGGGCTATGCTCGCACATAGCTGGAGCAAATCCTATTCCCACCAGCTGTTTACGGCATTAATTTGGAAGAGTTTCTGTCATTTAACTATGAGAAGCCACCTTTTCTACAAATGTTGCCTACACATCTTCTCTCTTTTGCAAACGGCACACCTAAAGCTCTCTAAAACTTTCGGCCATGAGGACCATTTGAAAATCCTCCTAAAACTGTTAGCAATTCTCATTCTAAACCTGGTCCTTGGCCCAAAACATCTGCATGAGAAGCCTGGAAAACAGGCAGTGAGTGTGTAGGCTTCCAACTCAGAGGGTGGTGTGTCTGCACAGCTCCACACACCCCAGCAACTGGGAAGGCTTGAGGTGAGGTTATGCCCTGGCCTTTTTACTGACTTTTACTAAAATTACACATGCAAGTATTTGCATTCCAGCCAGAATACCCTCTAGATCCAAAAGCTCAAAAGGAGCAGAGAATTGAGAACACTATTAAAGTAGCCCATGCTGTTCCTCCCCTCCAGGCTCTGGCAGACAACCAGCATTTCCCTGGTGCCCCTCACACCCTACCTTGCTTAGGATATGCCTGACAATGTCTAGAAACTTCACCCTCTGGTCCTAATAGGGTGTCCCAGGCAGTGACCTTAAGTTTGTCTTGAGCCGCCCACACGCTCTACCTCAAGTTTTCTGACAACAAGTGACTGGATTGGGGTGGTGGCTGATTGGGTCAAGGACCCCAGGCCCTACATCGTACCTATGGTGTGGTCACATCTTTTTCCTGCACCCAAGACTTTTTTGTCATGGCTGTAGATGGATGGACACGTGCACCCTAAGCTGTCTCTGTGTTGCTGCATGACACATCCTGAGTCTACCAGAGTCTCTACTGAAATGTGACAGCAGGGCCCATGTGCCTTCATGTAACCAGCACTGTCACAGACCACACCTGCCAGGCGAGTGATCAAGACTTACACAGACATGGCATCATGACCAGTTTCAGTTTTTCTGGCTCAGACACCACTCTGTTGAGGAACAGACTTCTTGGTGAGCCTGGCTCAGGCCAGAGGCTAAGAGTTTGCTGTCTCCCCAGAGGCCACGAGTCAGAGAAGAGCGAGGGCTTCCTCTTCCCTTATCCTCAGTGCTGGCAGAAGACCCCATTTCAGTGGGCACCCAGCTTCCCCAGTGGAAGAAAAAGGAGCCCAACCCTCATGCCTCTGGGAATGCATCCCTACAAAATGGGAATAACTCAGATATTCCCTGCAAAATGAGACTAAAATACTATGACTTTGAGAAATCTCAAAGCACATTCCAGATCATCCAAAGACTGCCCCGGAAAAACAGACTCAGCTTTGGCAAATGGGAGCCTTCCCCTGGGCCCGTGGCTTTAGGGAGCCTCACTTTGGAGCAGGAGCATGCACGGGGAAGCGACCGAGATTCCACCCCCAGAGCACTAAAGCCCCGAGGCCTCCCTCCCACAGTGAGCCCCAGACCCCAAACAGAGGGTGGAGAATGTGCTCCTCTGGCATTGGATGAGAGGCCTTAGACTGAAATGAGCCCCATGCACTGACCATGCCCCTTCTAAAGGGATCTTCCTGGTCAGCACAAAGCTGACCCCCCAAAAGAGCTCATCCTCCAATACTCAAGTGTCATCCCTGTTCCCTGGACTGAACTGTAATGGGCACACAAATTCCCTGGAATCTTGGTGAAATGTACCTTCTGCTTCAGCAGGTTTGGGGTGGACCAGATTGTACGTTCCTTTTCTTTTCTTTTTTCTTTTTTTTTTTTTTTGAGTCAGAGTTTCAGTCTTGTTGCCCAGGCTGGAGTGCAATGGTGTCATCTCGGCTCACCACAACCTCTGCCTCCCAGATTCAAGCGATTCTACTGCCCCAGCCTCCTGAGTAGCTGGGATTATAGGCATGCACCACCACGCCAGGCTAATTTTGTATTTTTAGTAGAGACAGGGGTCTGTCCATGTTGGTCAGCCTAGTCTCGAACTCCGGACCTCAGGTGACCCGCCTGCCTCGGCCTCCCAAAGGCTGGGATCACAGGCGTGAGCCACCCCGCTGAGTCCCAGATTCTACATTTCTAGCAAGTGTCACTGCCTCCTCCAAGATGCCCTGTACCCTAAACTGAACTTCATCCCTCCATCCGCCCCTCCCGCCCTCCCATCCGTCCTGGGGATTCCCAGATCTTGTTTTAATGCAAACCCTTTTGTGAGAAAGCATTGCTTTCTTAAACAATGCAAATTGTTTTGACTCCAACAGGTTTGGCTATAATCTGTCGAAGGAAATTGGCAGAAGGCCAGAGAGGAACTAGAGGAAGCTGGAAGCAGGCAGTTCAAGGCCACATGAACTCACACAGCTGCCCTCCCTTGATGGTGGGAGGTGGGTGGTGGGGAGGGAGAGGGGAGGTACTGGTTGCGGGGAGGAGACCTTCCATACACCCCGTGTCCAAGGGAGAATTACATGCACAGGCTTATCAGAGGTGACACCAGCATCCAGCAGGGAAGGGTGTTTTGCAACCAGGGGCTCCATGCTCAAAAAAATAACATTCAGCACCAAGGAGAGGGATTTTCAAGAACGAAGCAGAGGGTAAGGTGCAGGCAGGGTCCCGGCTAGGTGCAAGCCATGTCGGTTGTGGTGTGCTGGAATTTCGAAATCTGTAATTAAGATTCTAATTTTTTTAATTGGCTGTTTTGGTTCGGGGCTACTTAGCAATCAAGAACAAAATGGAGGCGCTTATGACGTCTCTTAAATATCGTTTATTCCTGTCGTGCCCAAGCCAAATCATGTCATCACCTCTGATTTCCTGGGGCAAACAAATAGAGGAAGCAGGAAGCAAAGGGCTGGTGGGTTTTCCTTAGCTTTGGGCCCACTTGGGATAGCCAAACAGTGGAAGCCTCCACCCAAAGTTAACGGGCTTTCTAGGCTCATTTGCACAAGAGCAGACTCCAAGAAGTTTCTTCTGGAATTTCAAATGTGATGTGGTCTGCAAATCTGCTCCCTGTCAGCTAAGAAGATGTTGACCTGTGCAGATGGCTGTTTCCAGAAGTCGAGCTGTCAGACTCTTTCCAAGGGCAGGACCCAGGCCTCCCCCATCTGTCTGTGGAGCCCTCATAAGCAGCATCCTGCCTTAGAGATGGGTTTTACTTAGAATTACAGAACATTTTTCCTCTGGGCATTATCTCAGCTCCTAACTTATGTTTAACATTTGAGCCAATGTCCTTCTTTGCCTCATCTTGGGCATTTTGTGGATTTGTTCATGCTTCCACTCGACAAACATGCATTCAATTCCTGCCATGAGTCTGTCTGCTCCGTGCGGGAGCTGTAATGGTGGGCAACAGAGGCAACGTGCCTGCTGTTAGGTGTTTTGTTCTGGTGGCACACGCATGCATGTATAACCAGAGGTGTGCTAGTGTACCAGCTCTATGCCCGAGTAGGGGTGAGGGAGCCCTAATTTGTACTATTTGCCAATTTCTATGATGTAAATGGTGACCCAGCCAATTTCAAGTTACCCACACTCACTGAATGTGGAGTTAATAGAGATGTGTATGTTCATCTCTCAGAAGCCTGTTTGACCTGCTCCAGCACAATTAATTTAATTTAACTGTTTACTTTGTAACCTTTACACATATTAATTCACTCCTATAAACAATATCATAGCTCTTCCAAATCAGAGCTGAAGTCATCTCAACCGGGAGGCTATTGATGGATTGGCGATGGTCCTCCAGGTCGCTCTCCCTTCCATGCAGACACCTAGGTGAAAGCCAAGCCCCAGGTAGGCACAGGAAGAGCCGAGGCCAGAGCGGAAGAGAAATGGCACATGGAGCTGCCACTGGAGTTGAGGATTATTTAGCAGTAAATCTTTTTTGATTTTCTATTGCATGCCTGGCAGTCCACTGGAATCTGCAGATGCCACAATGAATGAGTCACTGCCACTGCCTTCAAGGTGCTCACAGTCTGATGCAGAAAGGATAATGGCCATGCAGTATGGGGAAGTGTTGTGTTAGACATGGGAATTAGCAAGAAAGGTTTGCTAGAGAAGGGAAGTCTGAAAGGATGGATGGAGGCATCCAGGTGGAGAAGATGGGAAAGATGTAGAATCACTGCAAAAAAGAAAACAAGACTATGCTGCATTCAAGGAGCTGCAAGCGGTCCAGTACAGTGGGGATGTGGGCACGGATGGAGGAGAGCGACAAGATGAGGCCAGAGAATGAAAGGAGCAAGATCTGCAAAGATCCCTCTGGCTTGCCGTATGTTCTCTTGGGAAGCACTTCGCAAACCATAACGGGCACACAAATTCCCTGGGATCTTGGCAAAATGCAGCTTCTGCTTCGTCAGGTTTGGGATGGACCAGATTCTACATTTCTAACAAGCTCCCTGGTTATGTTGATGCTGCTGGTCCATGGACTATCGTTTGTATAGTAAGGGTGTAACGAAGAGGAGGGCACTGAAGGGTGTTAGGAAGGTGGATTCCACGATCAGGCTTGCATTTCTAAAGATGACTCTAGGTGCTGGGGGCAGGATGGGCTGCAGGCAGCCACAGCTGCAGGAGCAATGGAAGAGAAAAAGAAGGTTAAGAGTTAAGTCTAGGTTAGGTGCGGTGGCTCATGCCTCTTATCCAAACACTTTGGGAGGCTAAGACGGAAGGACCACTTTACCCAGCAGTTCGAGACCAGCCTGGGCAACATGGCGAGACCCTGTCTCTACAAGAAATAAAAACTCAGCCAGGCGTGGTGATATGCACCTGTAGTCCCAGCTACTTGGAAAGCTGAAATGGGAGGATCGCTTGAGCCCAGGAGGTCAAGGCTGCAGTGAGCCATGATCCTGCTGTTGCACTCCAGCCTGGGCAACAGAGCAAGACCCTTCTCAAAAAAAAAAGAATGAGTTAAATCTGGCATGTTGATGAGCTTGAGGGATCCCATTTGGGTTCCGCTTTTTGTCAGGCTTCTTGTCCTCACCACCTGTCTCACTTGTTTCTCCTCCCAAGGTGGATGTGGAGCCCCCAGGATTCTTCCTACTCCAGGACATCTTCTCAGGCCTCTGTGTGCCAGCTTGTGCAGCATGACTTGGCTTTACAGAATTGGGCAAAGTCATGCTTAATGTCACTCAGTCCTGTTCCAGAGTGAAGTCATTTATTTTAGGGGAAGATCTATTTCAGTAGCTTTATTTTTTTATGTAGTAATTTTTATTGTTTTTCCTTTTCAATAAAATAAATACTTGCTATGCAGTTTCTCCTGAAATTATAAATTAACTGTTCAGGGTTAGCAAAGCATGAGTTATTCTATTGAATCTATAAAACATTCAGCTTTAAAAGAAACAGATATATATTTTTTTCTCATTACACATTATTATATAACCTTTAAGGATAATAAAGCTGTGTTCAGATTTAAAATTTGAGAAATCTAGCTATACCAAGTTTTTAAAAGTGCATTAATCAAGGCTAAATTTTAAATATTGATATATACATATTTCATAATCTGAATCTGTTTAACATGAACACTAGCCTTTCTTTCTGTTATTTTTTTTTTTTCCCTACAAGATGGCTTGACTTTGCAGAACAGTGGTTCTCAACTACTGGTGACTTTGCCTCCCTGGGAATATTTGGAAATATCTGATGTAATTTTTGTTGTCATCGGGGCGGAGGAGATAATGGCATTCACTGAGTAGAACCTAAGGATGCTGCTAAACATCCTACAATGCATAGAATGGAACCCCATAACAAAGGAATATGCAGCCCAAATGTCAACCATGCCAAGGTTAAGAAACCCTGTTGTAAAGTGCAACTCAATTCCCATTTTATGAATAGCCTCTCTGTTCAATGTAATTCTGAAAACACAGACTTGACTAATTTGCATATACTGCTTAAAAGAATGTTTAACCTAACCAATGTCATTACCAAAAGCAATGGTTGACTTTAAGTATCAAGTGATACTTCCAGAATGATTAAACCACAAAGTCAGCTTAGAAAGATAGAAATTGGGACATATTATTTATATACCATTTAATTGTTCTTGAATCTGCTCTACCAGTCTAATCTATTAATATGGAAAGTTAATTAGAACTGTTTTGAGTTAGCTAAGCACATAGTTTCCTTTGAACACTTTTCTGAACTATGACAAAAATTAAATTATATATAAAGCACCTGGGAAATAGAAAAGCACTCTACAAATGTTCTCAAAATGTTTGTTGCAACATGTGAAAAGTGAAGAGCTTTACCTACTTGTCCAAACTTGTCATGAACATGTGTTTGGACAGTTAAATTAGTTTTTATTTGTTCTCTCTTTTTTACAATGATCTCTTATACATGACTTTTACAAATATCAGTGCATATATATAGTATGTGTGATACAAGAGAAAGCAAATGTGTTTTTCACACATGTAAAGTATCAAGATGGCATATGAGTATTCTAATTGGGAGCCAACTTTTTTTCAAATTATTCTAAGTTTTGGGGGTTTTATGGTTTTTTGTTTGTTTGTTTTTTATTTTTTGAGACGGAGTCTCACTCTGTCGCCCAGGCTGGAGTTGCAGTGGCATGACCTTGGCTCATAGCAACCTCCGTCTCTCGGGTTCAAGCAATTCTCCTGCCTCAGCCTCCCAAGTAGCTGGGATTACAGGCACCCGCCACCATGCCTGGCTAATTTTTTGTATTTTTAGAGAGACAGGGTTTCACCATGTTGGCCAGGTTGGTCTCGATCTCCTGACCTCAGGTGATCCACCCACCTCGGCCTCCCAAAGTGCTGGGATTATAGTCATGAGCCGCCATGGCCAGTCTTTTTTTTTTTGACAGGATCTCATTCTATCATCCAGGCTGGAGTGCAGTGGCATGATCATGGTTCAATGTAGCCTCGACCTCCCAGGATCAAGCGATCTTCCCGCGTCAGCCTCCTGACTAACTGGGACCACAGACATGCACCACCATGCCCAGATAATTTTTTGTATTTTTAGTAAAGACAGGGTTTCACCATGTTGCCCAGGTTGGTCTCGACCTCCTGGGCTCAAGCGATCCGCCTGCCCCAGCCTTCCAAATTACTGGGATTACAAGGCGTGAGCCACTGTGCCCAGCCTATTCTAAGGTTAAGTAGAGAAAGTTTTCAGTACTTTATTAATCATTTATCTCCACATCCACATCCTATATATTTTTCATGGTCAATAAACTGATTCAAATGACTTAAGTTATCCCACCATTTAAAGAGAAAAGTCTCTATAATAACTTGAAATCATGGTGTTATTTTAATTTCACCAATGACTACTTTTCTCAGAAGTTCTAGCTCTTCCTTTGACACACAGAAAATAGCTTTTTATCTCACTGGGATCTGAATTCGAAGTTATGTTCTTCCTCACAAACAAAATATAATCAGTTTTATGTTCTCCCCAGATGCCATCAGATTGGACTTCGCTGCAAGTTGATATTAGATAATAGGTTTCTTCTGGAGGAGCCTCTTCCATGGGAATTCCTAATTCAGCTTTTAGATGCCTCTGTGCTACTCAACTTATGTCAATGACATCATTTCTCTCAAGCTTGTCTGGATTACTTAATGGATGACTACAACCAAGTATTGGTGAAACTGGCTCGAAAGGTAATTTCAGCATCTGATCTCTGCTGTCACTGTAGCTCATTTTGGTGTTGAGTAAGAAGACACTAAGAGCTTGATGCAATAATCCATTCCCAATGTTTTCATTCTCGTGACAATTCTTCTTGGTCTCAGTTCCAATATTACTGTCATTTTCATCAATAAGAATACACTTCTCTGTGGTGCACAATGGTTCACACCTGTCATCCCAACATTTTGAGAGGCCAAAGTGGGAGGATCGTTTGAGGCCAGGAGTTTGTGACCAGCCTGGGCAACATAGCGAGATCCTGTCTCTGCAAAAATTTTAAAAATTCATTGAGTGTGGTGGTGCATGCCTGTAATCTCAGCTAATCAGGAAACTGAGGCAGAAGGATCACTTGAGCCCAGGAGGTCAAGGCTGCAGTGAACCATGATCACACCACTGCACTCTGGCCTGGGTCACAGGGCAAGACCCTGACTCTAAAAAATAAATAAATAATGAATTTGTAAAAAGAATACACTGGTCTATGAGGAGTTGAACTTGTTGCTCTTGGAGATGTCCAATGCCTGTCTGAGGCATGGTCACAGGATGTCTGATCTGCCCTAAAAGACAGGCCTGGCACAAGGGTGGCATCAGTGCTGGGCTCAGGTGTGCCTTGGGAGCTTTATAAATGGCTGCCCCTGGAGTATATGGTCAAGACCTAAAGAGTGGCCATGTGTGTTTTCTAATCAAGCTTTACTGAATTTTAGAGGGGAATCATGTATAATGAGATTGGCAAGGGGAATTATGTATAATGAGATTTGCAAAAATCCTAGAACGTCCTGCTCTGGAAAGTCCACAGTCTACAGTGATAGGGAAACATCAGAGGTGCAAAAGGAACTTGGGGATTTGCTATGGGGACTCAAAGGCAGACACATAGCTGGTCCTAGGACATTAGAAATGAGACTTGGGCAGAGTCCAGGAAAAAGTGAGAGAATGGAGCAGAAAAAGGTTCCCTGATAAACCTGCACTGGGCTGTGTGGCATGGGAAGAACTTGTTATCTCTTTCTAGCTCTGTAAGCCCAAGGCTTTCTATGAGCTTTTAGGCCTTGATATTTGTATCATTTTATGAGTCTATTAGGCTCAAAAACGTCTTTGTTAAGCATTTACAAAACATTTGTTTGAAAACTATTCTGCGTGAAAACATGTTGAATTCGGCGAAAGAAAACAGTACGTCATCAAGTGTTTTGGCACAAACCTTACTTTTAGCTTTTAGGGCTGGATATTTGTATCTTTCTGTGAGTGCCCACTGGGCCCAAAAATGTCTTTTCTGAGCTTCTATGAAACGTGTGTTTGAAACTGTTCTACGTGAAAACATGTTGAATTCGGTGAAAGAAAACAGAACATCATCAAGGTTTTTGGCAGAAACCAGGATTTTATCTTTTAGGGCTGGATATTTGGGCAACATAGTGGGACCTCATCTCTACAAAAAATAAAAATACATTAGCTGGGTGTGGTGGCATATGCCTGTAGTCCCAGCTAATCAGAAGGCTGAGGCAGGAGGATTGCTTGAGCCCAGGAATTTGAGGCTGCAGTGAACTATGATTGCACCACTGCAGTCCACACTGGGTTACAGAGCAGAAGAAAATAAGTGAAGTCTAACATCGAGATTGTAGGCCGGGCGTGGTGGCTCACATCTGTAATCCCAGCACTTTGGGAGGCCAAGGTTGGTGGATCACTTGAGGGCAGGAGTTCGAGACAAGCCTGTCCAACATGGTGAAACCCCATAAAAATACAAAAATACAAAAAATTAGCTGGGTGTAGTGGCACACACCTGTAATTTCAGCTACTCCGGAGGCTGAGGCAGGAGAATCACTTGAATCTGGGAGGTGGAGGTTGCAGTGAGCCGAGATCACACCACTGCACTCCAGCCTGGGCAACAGAGCAAGTCTCAGTCTCAATTAAATAAATAAATAAATAAGTAAATAAATAAATAAATAAATAATAAAAATAAAATGAAGATTGTAAATAAACTTGATCAGGTCCAAAGAAAATAGAGTCTTCCTTCATCTTCGCTTATACTTAGATAGCAGGCCGTCTCTATGTGAGTTACTCATTGCCTGAGGCTGGATTCACCAAGAACTAGATGCCAAGTCAAGGATTCATGTACAAGTGGTTTATTCGGGAGGTGATCCCTGCAAATGCTGCAAGTGGGGAATGGAAAAAGGGAAGGGAAGGTAGCCCAAAAAGGCTGTGTTAGCATGTTTATTGCATGGGCAACCGGAGCTTCACTCTGCTTGGGAGGCCCCTGGATGCCAGAGTAGAACATATTCCTCAGGGTTATGCTGCCTGCAGGGCGAGGGAGCTGGGGAATTTATACACCAAGATCTGTCCATCATTGGTTAAGGACAGCTCCCAAAGGCTATACTTCCCTAATAGTTCCAACCTGCTGAGTGCATAGGCTGAGTGGGCTTCCGAGCATGCTGGTCCCATCTCCTAATGATGAGAGGTGGAGGCACAGGAGAAGGTAAACAAATGGCAAAGACACTTAAATACATGAGAAAATGAGTCCAACCTGAACTTTGACTTTTCTGGGTGGCCCACTCATCCCACTAACTACCATAACTTCATTTCGTCTGCTTTTTGCAAAGAACAGACAATTCCAAACAGCCAAGCCTAACAAGTAGCTCATCTTAGCTTGTGGATTCAGAGCACTGGTGGCCTCTCCACCTCCAATTGACACCAGAAAACATATAAATACCTCTAAACATGCCTTGGGTATTTGTTTTTCTAATTGCAAATATTATACCATAACTTAGTTTGAAGGCTTTGTAAAGAATATGCCAGAAACATCTAATATTAGCCCTAAAAACTAGGGCAATCTTTTTTTTAACAGAAGAGTGTTCATATAAACATCAAAAGATGTGATGAGAGTAGTTTCAACTTCTAATCATAGAAATTATAGGGCTATTTCATGAAAGAGGTGCTTTATCAGCTCATCTTGAGTGAATGTTAAAGATGAAGATATGGCTAGTATCTCCAGAGTCTACTGTCTCAGAGAGGTAGCCCAAAGTTGTAAGACTGAGTGCCTTGAGGTAGGGAACAGGAAGCAACAGGGTCTCCAGGTTCACTGAGGAGTACTGACCTGCAATGCGATTCCTACATCAGCAAAGGTCTTCCTTCCATCGTTAGAGGACTCCTGGATTTGCTATGCCTATCCTGATGGCTTCCTACATGAGACCATCCATTCACACTTGGCCCTTACCCAGGCCTGAAATTCTCCCCAGTTGCACTCCACCCACTTATGTCTATCACTTAGCTCAAAGCCAGTAAAGCTCATCTCTGAACTAGCAAAGATTCCCTTTATCCCATCAAAATGTCCTTAACATCTATCTTGAGGTCATGCAGCATGATCTTACTTTGCTGGCATTCTTTCCTTCTTCTGTGGATTCCCAAGCAGAGTACAGATGTACAGATTCCTTGGGGGATAAGAGCTGGAATTTCAGCTTCTTTTTTTTTTTTTTTTTTTTGAGACGGAGTCTCGTCTGTTGCCAGGCTGGAGTGCGGTGGTGCAATCTCTGCTCACTGCAACCTCCGACTCCCTGGTTCAAGCTATTCTCCTGCCTCAGCCTCCCAGGCAGCTGAATTACAGGCACACACCACCACGCCCAGCTAATTTTTGTATTTTTAGTAGAGACAGGGTTTCACCATGTTGGCCAGGACGGTCTCGATCTCCTGACCTCATGATTTACCTGCCTTGGCCTCCCAAAGTGCTGGGATTACAGGCATGAGCCACCGCACCCGGCCTCACCTTCTTTTATATCCCACACAGCACCCAGCACAGAGCACAAAGCTAAGCGCATCGATCCAGCGACTGACTGACTGAATAAATGAATACATGCTATCTTGCTTGTAGAAGCCCAGATTCCTCCTTCTTACGACTCCCACACCCACTTAGGAGATTCTATTATGTCTTAAAAGAAGTTACATCTCCATTAGTGTCAAAGCAACATTATATAAGTGGCTCAACATGATCAGGCATGAATTTCTTTGTTTTCCCACTCACCTGAAAGCCCAAAAACAATCCAGGTGGTGGTAAACACTTCTGATCCTTCAAAGAAAACGGAAGAAAGCGATCCCTACCGTCTATTTTGAATCTACCGTTTTTTGTTTTTGAGTGTCTTTTAAATCTATTCAAAATCCTTTAAGGGCATTTCACCATGCATGGGAGAAGGTCATGGATCCTCAACAAATTGCAAGAGGCCTTTCACAGGCTAGACTCTGCCTTGTTCTCCAAGCTCACCTTCCATAATCCTGATGTGCTCCATATTGCCAGACTCTTTCAAGTCCTTCCCCGCCCTGCGGAGAATCCCTACTCACACCTCAGGACCAGCTCAGACATGGTCTCCAGGAGACCTTTTCTAAGATCCTATGTGAGGTAACTAGCCCCCTTGGCACCTTGTGACATAATTATTCACTTCCATGTACATGTCCCGTAGTGAACTATGAGCACCTCCAGACCTTACCCTGCGTTTGGTCGCCTTGCTCTCCTCTCTGCAGCTGGCACCCAATCTTTCCAGGCTGTCTCTAGGGACTCGAGCCCTTGGGATGGGGTCCTCAATGCTTTTCCACCTGCCTGGCTTCTAAATTCCACTAAGATCCTGTCCCATTCTCTTGGAAACACTAGAACTTACTCTGACATGCCCTATGGAAGTTATTTCTCCACTGCTGTTCAAACCCACTCCCAGACCTGGCCTTCCCTGAGGAGAGCGTCTCAGCCAAATCCAACTGCCTCTAGCTCAAGTTTCCTTGCGGGGGGCCCGCTGGCCTCATCCTGTTAGGTCGTCTTAGAGCCACAGGAGAATCAATGTTCCAGTGTCAGCAGGAAGAATCAATGTTCCAGTGTCAGCCAGCAGGGGGCAGTGTGAAAATACACACACCAGGCCCTTTTTTCAAAGGGTCTCGGCTTCCCTGAGGGTGTCTATCTGTGCCTCTATGAAGCATGGCTTGGGTCATTCCTCCAGTCCCATGGCCAGGTGGATCCTTCGTTTACCTTTCATTTCTATTAAATGAGAACATTCTCAATTCACTAACTGGATTGTTGGAAAGGCAGCAAGCTCTGCTAGATAGTTCTAAATATTTGCATCAAATATGGACCAGAAATTGTGAATCTGTCTTTCAACGCCCTCGGATCTGAGTCAGCAAGGCTGCCACGTGCAAAAGTAGGAACGTTAAATACTTGAAGCTGGGAGAGAATAAGTGGGTTTCTAATCCTCTCTGGTGCATTCAGTTCTAGAAAGTGGTTCTTTGTATTCTACTGGAACATTTCTATGTATGGTTTTTTTGTTGTTTGTTTGTTTGTTTTTTGAGACAGAGTCTCCCTCTGTTGCTCAGGCTGGAGCACAGTGGCACAATTTCAGCTCACCACAACCTCTGTCTCCCGGGTTCAAGGAATTCTCCTGCCTGAGCCTCCCGAGTAGCTGAGATTACAGGCACGTGCCACCACGCCCAGCTAATTTTTGTATTTTTGGTAGAGGCAGGGTTTCACTATGTTGGCCAGGCTGGTGTATGTATGTTTTAAACATGCTTTAAAACAAAATTTCTTTTTAGAGATGGGATCTTGCTATGTTGCCCAGGCTGGAGTGCAGTGGCTATTCACAGGTGTGATCATGGCGCACTGAAGCCTAGAACTACTAGGCTCAAGCAATCCTCCCACCCTAGCCTCCCACGTAATTGAGACTACAGGTATACACCACCATGCCCGGCCTTAAACATGCTTTTAAATGTGTCATAAATCACATTTCTCTGATGAATAAAAAGAATTATCTAATGTTGAGAAAGAGTCAGTGTTTAATCATTTACCTCACAGTGCAGATTTCTTAATAAATTCTGTTATTGAATCTACAGAATTTAACATTATGTTATTTTTGGCCCTGAAGGCATAACTTCAAGCCATTCTGGATACTGAATGTGTTGCTGACATACACATTAGCAAATCACTCAGAAGCATATACACTTTATTGCATTATCAGTAACATGAAGAAATATTTCTATATCATGAGAAAGAGCACTTTCTTCTTGATATGTGTGTAATCCCTTGGTCTTGGGAAGCTAAGGCACAGCTTACAGAGGGATTTTGTATACCCCACTCATTACGTAGCTTAAATCAGGCTGGGTAAACATGTAAACCAAATGCAAATCATCAATCTACATATGTTTAAGAAATAATATAGACATACTGCTGAAGCATGCCTCCCAGGGAGTTCTGGACTTTAAACAGCATCTTATAAATCACCAGCAAGAACAATCAATTAATATTTTGGCTGAGGGTCTTTACCAGACTCCCAAATACCACTGGAGTTAAGCACTGAACCAACACAGGCCAGCTGCAAATAAGATTCATTGCTATGGTTTGGATATTTGGCCTCCCCTCCAAAGACAATATCATGTTGAAATTTCATCCCCAATGTCAGAGGTAGGGCCCACTGGGAGGTTTGGGTCATGGGAGTATATCTCTCATGAATGGCTTGCTGCCATCCTCATGGGAGTGAGTTCTCACTCTTAGTTCCCTCAAGAGCTAGTTGTTGAAGAGTGTAGAACCTCCTCCTCCCTCCTCTTGCCTCCTCTCTCCCCATGTGATCTGCCCACAGTGGTTCACCTTTCCCTTCCACCATGAGTAGAAGCAGCCGGAGGCCCTCATCAGAAGCAGGTATTGGTCCTATGCTTTTTGTACAGTCTGCAGAACCATGAACCAAGTAAACCTATTTTCTTTATACATTACCAAGCCTTAAGTATTCTTTTATAACAACACAAGCAGGCTAAGATAACCCCATCTATGGTCAGTCACCAAGGCCTCTTCTCTCATATGAGTTTTGTACCTTACTCTATTTAATAAAGTTTGTTCTCATGGGGATATGCATTAACAATTCTGATACGTGCATACTGAAATCGAAAATTAATTAAACAAATGGCGGATGGTAGAAGCCAGGTTGCTCACTGTTGGAATGCAAGTTTACAGATAAGCCAGGGGAGGAGGCTAGAATGATCCACTTGGTAACAGAGCGGAGTTGGAGGCATCAGTATGAACTCATGTCTAGCTTAATACAGGGGCAGAAGATTCCATATAGAAATATGTATAGATATGTGATATTCACAGGTTAGTATACACATGAATATTTCCTTGCTCTGTCATCTGAGAAGGACTAAAAGAAACAGCACCCCAGTAGCAAAAAGCATACCTAGCACCCAGACCTTGGTTTCTAATAACACTCTCCAGTGAAAGGTACCAGGGCTCCTTGGAGAAATGGCCAATTCTATGCCTCTGACAGAAATATGCAAGAGGAGCCTGGAGTATTTTGTAGTGCCAGAAAATAAGGAGGCACTCAAAAACAATCAAAAAACAAATGCATATTAATGGAGCTACATCAAAGAAACACAGGAGCCAACTGAGAGTGCTCCCAACGGCCAAAGCTGGAACAATTTGAGCAACAAAATAAAGCAGTGCTGGATTATCATTCAAAGTATAAAATAAATACCCCTGAGTCCTCACTATTGCAAATAAATGATTGAATAAATTAATAAATGGGGGAGGAGAGACAAGTCCCTTGGACTGATAAATTTCAAATAATTTATGCAGATACTCTGCCTCAAGGGGGTGAGGCATAACTCCTGACTCATTAAATGTGGAGTAAGCATAGTGACTTCCTTCCTAAGAGGACAGTATGGAATGGGGGAGAAGAGTAACCTTAGAGTGGAGGACCCTGACACATACGACCTCAGCCAGGTGATGAAGGTCAACATCAGTGGTGATCAATCATGTTGATCATATGTACTTCTGATGTGATGTGAGGAAAGCAGCACTTTACTTCTGTGGACTTCCTCTCAAAAACTCATAACCCCAGTCAAGTCAAGAGAAAAACATTAGACAAATTTAATAAATAGGCATTTGGGAAAATATCTGAGCGGTACTTCTCAAAACTATCAAGGTCACCAAAAACAAGGAAAGTCTAAGAAACTGTCACAGCTAGAGGAGCCCAAGGAGACACGATGATCATGTATCAGTGCTGGTTCATTCCTTCTAACAAATGTGCCCTACTCGTGCAAGATGTTAACAAAGGGAACATTGGCCATGGGTATATGGGAACACCCTGTACTATCTTCTCAATTTTTCTGTAAGTTTGAAACAGTTCTAAACAAAAAAAAGTCTTTTAAAAATACAATCAAGGCCAGGTGCAGTGACTCAGGCCTGTAATCCCAACACTGTGGGAGGACCACTTGAGCCCAAGGAGTTTTAGGCCAGCCTGGGCAATGGGGGGAGACCCTGTCTCTACAAAAAATTTTAAAAATTAATCAGGTATTGTGGTGTATATCTGTGGTCCCAACTACTCAGGAGGCTGAGGTGGGAGGATTGCTGGGGTCCAGGAGGCCAAGGCTGCAGTGAGCCATGATCGTACCACTGCACTCCAGCCTGGGTAACAGAGCAAGACCCTGTCTCAAAAACAAAAACAAAGAATCTATAAATAAATGAAAAGATTAATATCCACAAAAGGACAAATATTGTATGATTCCATTTATATGAGGTAGCTCGAATAGGCAAATTCTTAAAGACAGTAAATAGAATAGAAGTTACAAGGGGCTGGGAGGGGGAGGAATTAGAGCTTATTGTTTAATGCACTGCACTCCAGCCTGAGCCAAAAAGTGAGACCCTATGTGAAAAAAATAAATAAATACATAAAAATACAATCAACAGAAGAAAAGAAAGTATTTACAATATATAACAGATAACAGATTCCTATATAGACTGTATAAAAAACTTCCAGAATCAATGAGGAAGAGAAATAACCTGATTTTAAAAATTGGCAAAGGATGTGAAAAGGCAATACATGGAAGAAATACAAGTGTCCAAAAAACATAAGAAAAAATACTTAATCTCACTAATAATTGGAGAAATGCACATTCCATTAAAATACCAGTAAGACTGATTTCTCTTCTCACTTTAAAGGTCTGGTGATATCCAATGTTAGCAAGGGTGTGAAGAAACAATGAAAATGTATCCATACAATACTTGTGTAATTAAGTATAAATTGACAAGGGTGAATTTTTAAGGAAACTAAGAGAAAAAGAAAGGCGTGATCCCTTTGCCCCATTGTAAAGGAAACTATGACTCAAAAGTAACGGGTGGCTATCTAAATGCCAATAAGCACATAAGAAGGTGCCTAATCTCACTCATCATCAGTTAAATGCAAATTAAAACTATACCCAGATGCTACTATGTACCAGGATGACTGACACCAACATTGATGAGGATGTAGCACAACTACAGCTCCCATGCACTATTGGTGGGATTGGCACAGCTCACTTTGGAAAACAACTGGGCAGTATCTATTCAAACTAAACATGCTCATTTTATGGCCCACCAATTCTACTTCTCAGTAAATACTCAACAGACGTGAGAGCTTATGGCTCCCAAATGATACATGCAAAAATGTTCATATCCACCTTATTCACAATAGCTACAAGTAACTCAAATGTCCATGGATAGAAGAGTAGCTAAATGGTGGCATAGCCATACAATGGACTACTACACAGCAACCAAAAAGAAGAGACTATTACCACACACGGCATGAGTGAATCTCATGGGTTGATTGCTAAGCAAAAATGTCATGCAAAAAATGATATATTGTACAGCTCCATGTCTATGAGGTTTAAGGGTAGGCAGAGCTAATCTAAGGTGATAGAAACTAGAATAGTGGTTTCCTTGGGAAGGAGGTACAGGCAGATGATATGGCCTTGGAGGAGGCTTGAGAGCCCAGTGGGAAGATGAAATATTCTATGTCTGCATCTGGCTGGTGGTCATTCAGGTATAGACATGTGTCAAAACTTAGCAACCTTCTCACTTGAGATGTGTGCACTTTATATCTGCTCTGTATCAGTTAACACATACGTTAAAAAGAGGAAATAGGTGAGTTTTTGAAGATGGAATAATTACTACAAAATGAGAGTCATTGATTGTACCTGCTGCACGTGTGGAGACCAGATTTCAAAGGGGAACATTAAAACAGGAGGATGATAAACAAAATGTGGTCTATCTATACAATGGAATGTTATTCAGGCATAAAGGGAAATGAAAAATGGGTAAATCTTGAAAGCATTAAGACAAGTGAAAAAAAACAGACACAAAGAACCATATACTGGATGATTCCATTTATATAAAATGTCCAGAATAAGCAAATCCATAGAGACAGAAAGTAGCTTAGTGGTTTCCAATCTACTTCCCAGAGGGAAGAGAGGAATTGGAGAGGGACTGTTAATAGATATGGGATTTATTTCCAGGGTGATGAAAAAGGTCTGGAATCAGAGAGTGATGATTGTACAACTCTGTGAATATACCAAAAACCACTGAATTGCACACTTTATGAGGGTGAATTTTATAGCATTTGCATTTTATTTTATTTTATTTTATTTTATTTTATTTTATTTTATTTTATTTTATTTTATTGAGAGAAGGCCCCACTCTGTCACCCAGACTGGAGTCTGCAATCATGTTTTCTACTTATTGGTCAAGACGCCAGTCCCGCTGACTGCTCAGTCCCCAAGTTGTTCTATTTACCACATCCTTTTAGGAAGAGAACATCTAGGGCACCTTCTCCTCTCAGTGAGGCACTGCAGGTTCCCATAAGACCTCAGCCACGCCTGGCTAAGGAGAGGGCCCAGTTGCCCCTGCTGAAAAGGGCTCACTGCAGCTCTGGGAGAGGCTCCTTCTCTGGGCGTCTTCCTCAGATGCTGAACGATCAAGTGGGATCTGGAGCTGCCCGGAGTCCCCTCCCCTGACCTTCACCAGTCAGGAGTCTGGGAGGAACAGCTCATTCAAATATGCACCCAACGTGGATTCTCCCTCCACCCACTGACAGAAATGGCTAATGGAGCCCCAAAATCCTGCAGAGTTTAATTACCAACCTGCAAAGACAGGCTGTCAGCTCCAGTCCTAGGTAAAGACCTATGGGAAAGGGTGTTAGGTCAACCCAAAGACAGACAACAATGTCCACAGCAGGTCTGTCATCATAGCCGCGTTTTGGAAACAAGGTGAAGTCCATCAACAGCAGGCTAAATGCATAATTTGTGGCATAGACACTCAATGGAACACTCCACAGGAAGAAAAGGAGTGAACAGCTGCCCCGTGCAATAGCATGGATGAGCCCACACATGATGCCAAAGAAGCCAGACACAAGGGCATGCGCTGTATGATTTCCATAGGGTGTTGAATAGCATCTCCCCAAAACTCACATCCACCTAGAATCTCAGATTGGGACTGTACTTGGAAGTGGGGTCTTTGCAGATGTAACTAAATTAAGATGAGGCCACCCTGAATTAGGATGTGTCCTGAATCTAATGAATGGGGTTCTTATAACAAGAGGAGAGGACACAGAGAATGAGGCCATGTGATAATGGAGACAGATATTGGAGAATGATTTCACTACAAGTCAAGGTACACCCAGGACTGCCAGGAGCCACCAGGAGCTAGGAAGAGGCAGGAAAGGATCCTCCCCTAGACCCTTCAGGGGAAGCACAGCCCTGCTGACCCCTTGATTTCAGACTTCCAAACTCCAGAATTCTGAAAGCATCAGTTTCGGTTGTTTTAAGCCACATGCTTTGTGGTTATGTGTTACAGTGGCCCCAGAAAACCAAAATTTCATTGAATGAAATTCAAGAGAAGGCAAAGCTAATCCATAGAGATGGAAGCTCAAATACTGGTAGAGGATGGTCCTCATCTCGGAAGAGAAACAAGGAAGACTTCAAGGGTGTTCAAAATGCATCCTGTTCCAGGTGGTAGCTACCTAGTCATAGACACATGGAAAATTTCACTGAATTATACAGTTAAAATGTGTGCGCTTCCTTGCATGGAAGTGATACTTCAATAAAAATTTAAAAAGCAAGAAGCAGGCTGTTCCACTGGAGCTACAAACTACTTTGCTCTTTTTTCTTTCTTTCCTTGTCTTTTGTAGAAATGGGGTCTCACTATGTTGCCCAGGGTGGTCTCAAACTCCTGGGTTCAAGGGACTCGCCCGCCTCAGCCTCCCAGTCAGTGCTGGGATTATAGGCATGAGCCACTGTCCCCAGCCACGCTTTGTTCATTCTTGAAGGAAATCTCTATGATGTTCAACTTGTTCTTGTCACTCAAAATGACCATCCCCTGCCCTCTATAACTACCAGTAGAAACAAGATCTCTAGCAGCACTTTTCCAAGATTGGGTTTTCCCCAGAAGCACAGCCTGAGACAAGGATTTGAATGCAAGTGCTTTGCATGGGAGCACATGGGGAAGGGAGAAGGGAGATGGGAAGTGTGGGGAGGAGCACTGTGCCACCCACCCTGGGGACCCACTGAGACACCACAGGACACACCTCAGAATCTGCCCACCAAGTAGCAAGGGAGCTGGAGCCTTTATTGACCAACAGCCCTGCCTCACAGGGTAAGGGTGGCTCCAAGCACACCAGAGAAAGAACTCAGGCAGAGAGAGGCAGGAGCCTCTGCACTGGCCTCCAGCCTGGGCTGAGGCCATATGGGCCGGGACCTTCGTCTCTAGGTACAGGCCAGGGAAAGGCAAGACCTGGCTGGCCTTGAGCTCTGCCCTCTTGTTTGGGGGATCGAAGAACCAGGGATGCAGTATACTGAGAATTTCAAGTTCACGAACTTTCCTCCCCTTTCTTAGCACACAAGGTCCCTCTCCATATGGACACAGGGAAACCTCACCCCCCAAGGCACAACTGCCAACACCTTTCCATGAGAGCAAAGTGACTTCAGCAAAAACATCAGGTGAGGATGAAGATTGTCCAGAGGAAGCCGGCCCCAGGCTCTCCAGGGCTCCATTGTTCTCTGCATGTCTCAGAGCTGTCCAGGGCATGGTGCGGGCCAGCTGAAGGAAGCTTTGGCTCCGGGTTTTGTCCTCTCTTCCTGCTGGTGGGAAGAATGGGAGCTGGCAGGAAAGGAAACTGACTGAACAAAGAGAAGGAGGAAAATCAGAGGACCCCTGGAGAGATGTTACAGCTGGCCTGAGAGCTCATTGTGTTGGAGTGGGGGAAGAAAGCCATTCCCGGGAATATGCCTAAAAAATGCAAGAGACTCCCATGCCCGTCACCATCAAACCAGGCACTAGCCCGAGAATTTGACTTCCCAGATCTCAAAGGGGACTTAAAACTTTGGGTCCAAAAGACAAGATTTTTTTTCCATTTGCTTTAAAACTCTTGTTGAAAAGCAGATGTTAAGTCTGGGGAATCATGTGTTAACCAAGAAAGAGGTTTCTTAAGTGCATCAGCCACCATCCATAGCTGGGAGCAAAGCTAAGCTTGCAAGTTGGGGCCAGGAATATGTAGACAAGGACTCCGAAAGGTTTATGCCATGAGCCTACACACGAGAGGGACTCAGGGGCCTTGAGCATCCAGGTATCCAAGCTCTGGTGCCACAGTACTGGGGGCCATTGCTCAGAACTGAAAGCCTTGCAACGGCAAACTGCAACACCATTCAGATACCTGAGGCACTCCTCTGGGGCATGGCCATGACAGAGACTGTGCCAGGCCCCAGAACACTTTGCTTCTCTTACCAGCTGTGTGTGACTTTGAGAAAGTCACTTATCCTCGTGGTCTCTCTGTTTCCTGATCTGTAAGGTAGAGATCTTGACCTGCTTCATGGAGTTGGTATGAGAATGCCAAGTGTTTAATGCAGTGCTTAGAACATAGTGAGTGCTCCACAATATGAGTTACTGCACTGATGCAGTATGTGTGCTCACAGTCAAATGCCACATGCCCAACCCACCATCTACCTTCCTTTCTCTCCATTAGATTTCCAGGGATGGCTTTTTGGGGGAAAGGAATTGGTAACTGACATAGTTTTCCATCACGCTCCAAGCCAGAAATCTTGAGATCCTATGATACCCACTCAAAAATGCATTATTAATCCAGTTCTCAGCAACTTCTACTCACTACCATCATCTTTCATCTGGATGTCTACGACAGCCTCCTAACTGATGTTCCTGCTTCCATTCACAGGAACAGAAATAATCTATTAAAAGTCTAAAATCTGACTCACCCTCTCTCCTTAAAACTTTTCAAAAACTTCCCATTGTACCTAAATAGAATCCAAACTCTTGCACTGGCTTCAAAAGCCCTGTGCCTTTCTACAAGGTCACTAGACCCCTATTTCCCTGACAAACTCTGTTTCAGCCATGCAGTTTCTCTGTCAGTTCCTGAAACACAACAAGTTCCTTCTAGCCTCAGGACCTTTGTCTGTTTCCACTCCCTTCCCTGCATTACGTGACAAGCTCCTTCTCAAACTTCAGATCTCAGCCTAAATGTCAGCTCCTCACCAGGCTTCTCCAGGCCATTCTCTCTAAAGTAGGCTCCTTCTGCTACTGCATCATTATCTGTTTCCAGTTCGCCATTCTCTTCTTGTATCAGTCAGCTATCGCTGTGTAACAAGCCACCTCAAAACTCCATGGTTAAAAACAACAGGCATTCATTATCACTCACAACTGCAGGTTGGCTGGGGTTCAGCTGGGCACCTGTGCTCCTCATGGAAGGGCTGTGGGTCAGGGGAGGCCGTTCTGTTCCACATGTCTCTCAACCTCCTGCTGGGATGAGACTGGGCCCGTTTTTCTCATGGTAATAACAGAGGAACAATAGAGCAAGCAGAAAGATGTGAACTCTCTCAAGGCCTAGGCTCTCTCAAGGCCTAGGCTCAAAACAGACACAACATCCTTTCTACCACATTTTATGGGCCAAAGCATATCCTTGTGATCAAGCCCAAACTCAAAGAGTGGGGAAATGCCCTCCATCCATAGTGAGGCCAGGCAGGCCTGTGTCCACAGGGAGGATGGATAAAAAAATGTGGGCAGTCATTCAACTGCCACGATTTGTGATTCATGATGAATATTTTTGTTTCTCCACTCTCCACTAGAATGAGCAAGCAGGAACCTGGTATCCACAGCACCTAGAACAGTACCTGACATGTGACAGATGCTCAACAAGTCCCTTATTATACTTTTGTTTTGTTGTGTTTTTTTTAGAGACAGAGTCTCACTCTTTTACTCAGGCTGGAGTGCACTGCCGCAAACACGGCTTACTGAAACCTTGAACTTCTGGGCTCAAGCAATCCTCCTACCTCCACCTCTCAAACTGCTGGCATTACAGGCATGAGCCAACATGGTTGGGGCCCTTTATTATACATTGAATGAACTCCTAGACTGGAAGCCCATGTGTTACCTCTAGATGACAATTGTCCTATAAAACCATCATGACAGCAATTGGCTTTTCAGATATGGCTTTTTAATTTTTTTATTATTATTATTTTTTAGCTCTGTTGCCCAAGCTGGAGTGCAGTGGTGTGATCTCGGCTCACTGCAACATCTGCCTCCTGAGCTCAAGTGATTCCCCTGCCTCAGCCTCCCAAGTAGCTGGGATTACAGGCGCCCACCACCACACACAGCTGATTTTTGTATTTTTAGTAGAGATGGGGTTTCACCATGTTGGCCAGGCTGGTCTCAAATTTCTGAACTTAGGTGATCCGCCCACTTCGGCCTCCCAAAGCACTGGGATTACAGGCATGAACCACTGCACCTGGACTCAGATATGGCTTTTGTTGAATATGGACTCAGATATAGACAAACTTTTGCTTAACGATGGAGTCTTTTATTAATCAATGGGCAACTTCACACCTACTTGTTAGCAATTGCTTGGACATGGTCCTAAGGACTACAACAGCCACTTCCCAATCCAGGGCAGAAGAAAAAGCCCATGAACATGGCCCTGACTGGGACAAGGACCATGTGAGGCATTCTCTACTATGGACACAACAGAACTGATGAAATTCAGAGCAGGACCCAGCTCCAAATTCCCCTTGTCCAAAACCTGCTTATTCTTTAAGGGGGTGGGGGCTGCAGAAGGTAACCAGTGGACAAGGTGCAAAGGTTGTTGGGGTCCCTCTTCATACCTCCAAGAAGAATGGGGCAGACAGGAAAGCAGCTGGGAGCTGCCTTTGGAGTGAAGAGTCCTGGCTTGGCCAATGAGCACCAGTGTAACTTTGGACAAGGCTGTTGACCTCTGAGGTCCTTACCAACCCAAAGGGCAGTAGAGTAAATCAAAGGAGAGGAGCAAAAGGAAGCCCACACCTGTGCTGAGGCTCGCTGGTCCTCATCCAGGTTCAGAAGCAGTGTTCTCCAAACTTTTCAGGTTGGACACCCACTCAGTGAGCATTCTCAATATGTGCTGATGCTTATGTATAACATTACATACATGTACTTTTAAATATCATTCATTTTAATGGTTCATCTTCTCACCCTCTTGCACTTGTGTAACAGGACTATCTTCATCTTTTTTTTTTTTTTTTTTTTTTTTTGCACTCACGCTTAAGCCTCTTAGGATTTTTGTGACAGTTTTAGTCTAAGTAAAACTGAAAAAAATACTGAAAAAAATAATCATTTCTGCCACTTGCATGGTCCCCACCAAGGCACTTCTCTAAATTATTTTAGATGCATTTAGATCAGGGGCAATGGCTCACACCTGAAATCCCAGCACTTTGGGACACTGAGGCAGGAGGATCACCTGATCCCAGGAGTTCAAGGCTGAGCCTAGGAGTTCAAGGCTGAGCCCAGGAGTTCAAGGCTGAGCCTAGGAGTCCAAGGCTGCAGTAAACTATGATCACTCCACTGCACTCCATCTTGAGTGACAGAGAGAGACCATGTCTCTCAAAATAAAAATAAAAATAAAAATACACGCATTTTTTAAATTTTCATTTTTCCATAAGTTATTGGGGTATTGGGGTACAGGTGGTGTTTGGTTACACGAGGAAGTTTTTTTTTTTGTTTTTTTTTTTTTGAGACGGAGTCTCACTGTGTCACCCAGGCTGGAGTGCAGTGGTGCGATCTCGGCTCACTGCAACCTCCGCCTCCCGGGTTCATGCCATTCTCCTGCCTCAGCCTCCTGAGTAGCTGGGACTACAGGTGCCTGCCACCACGCCCAGCTAATTTTTGTATCTTTAGTAGAGATGGGGTTTCACCATGTTGGTCAGGTTGGTCTCGAACCCTGACCTCATGATCCACCCTCCTTGATTTCCCAAAGTGCTGGGATTACAGGTGTGAGCCACCACACCCGGCCATTACATGATTAAGTTTTTTAGTGGTGATTTGTGAGTGGTGCAACCATCACGTGAGCAGTATACACTGCACCATATTTGTAGCCTTTTATCCCTCACCCACCTCCCACTCTTCCACCCAAGTCCTCAAAGTCCATTATATTATTCTTTTGCCTTTTCGTCCTCACAGCTTAGCTCCCACATATCAATGAGAACATACGATGTTTGATTTTCCATTCCTGAGTTACATCACTTAGAATAATAGTCTCCAATCTCATCCAGGTCACTGCAAATGCTGTTAATTCATTCCTTCTTATGGCTGTGTAGTATTCCATCATATATATGTACTACGGTTTCTTTATCCACTCATTGATTAATAGGCATTTGGGTTGGTTCCACGATTTTGCAATTGTGAATTGTGCTGCTTTAAAAATACGTGTACAAGTATCTGTTTCGAAGAATGACTTCTTTTCCTCTGGGTAGATACCCAGTAGTGGGATTGCTGGATCAAATGGTAGTTCTACTTTTAGCTCTTTAAGGAATCTCCACACTGTTTTCCATAGTGGCTGTACTAGTTTACATTCCCACCAGCAGTGTAGAAGTGTTTCCTGATCGCTGCATTCACACCAACACTACTGTTTTTTTGATTTTTTTATTATGGCCATTCTTGCAGGAGTAAGGTGGTATTGCTCTGTGGTTTTTATTTGCATTTCCCTGATCATTAGTGATATTGAGCATTTTTTTACATGTTTGCTGGCCAGTTGTATATCTTCTTTTGAGAATTGTCTATTCATGTCCTTGGCCATGTTTTTTTCTTACTGATTTGTTTGAGTTCATTGTAGATTCTGGATATTAGTCCTTTGTCAGATGTATAGATTGTTTTTTCCCACTCTGTGGGTTGTCTGTTTACTCTGCTGACTGTTCCTTTTGCTGTGCAAACGCTCTTTAGTTTAGTTAGGTCCCAGCTATTTATCTCTGTTTTTATTGCATTTGCTTTTGGGTTCTTGGTCATGAAATACTTGCCTAAGCCAGTGTCTAGAAGGGTTTTTCCAATGTTATCTTCTAGAATTTTTATAGTTTCAGATCTTAGGTTTAAGTCCTTAATCCATCTTGAGTTGATTTTTGTATAAAGTGAGAGATAGGGATCCAGTTTCATTCTCCTACAAATGGCTTGCCAATTATCCCAACACCATTTGTTGAAAAGGGTGTCCTTTCCCCACTGCATGTTTTTGTTTGCTTTGTCGACAACCAGTTGGTGTAAGTATTTGGGTTTATTTCTGGGTTCTTTATTCTATTCTATTGGTCTATGTGCCTATTTTTATGCCAGTACCACGCTGTTTTGGTGACTATGGCCTTAGAGTATAGTTTGAAATCAGGTAGTGTGATGCCTCCAGATTTGTTCTTTTTGCTTAGTCTTACTTTGGCTATGTGTGCTCTTTTTTGGTTCCATATGAATTTTAGAATTGTTTTTTCTAATTCTGTGAAGAATGATGGTGCTATTTGATGCCGATTGAGTTGAATTTGTAGATTACTTCTGGTAGTATGGTCATTTTCACAATATTGATTCTACCCATCTATGAGCATGGAATGTGTTTCCATTTGTTTGTGTCATCTATGATTTCTCTCAGCAGTGTTTTGTAGTTTTCCTTGCAGAGGTCTTTTGAGTCCTATGTTAGGTATATTCCTAAGTATTTTTTTTTTTTGCAGCTATTGTAAAAGGGGTCAAGTTCTTGATTTGATTATCTGCTTGGTCCCTGTTGATGTATAGAAGGGCTACTGATTTGTATACATTAATCTTGTATCTGGAAACGTTGCTAAATTATTTTATCAGTTCTAAGAGCTTTCTAGAGGAGTCCTTAGGGTTTTCAAGATAAACAATCATATAATTGGCAAATAGTGACAGTTTGACTTCCTCTTTACCAGTCTGGATGCCCTTTCTTTCTTTTCTTTCTTTCTTTCTTTCTTTCTTTCTTTCTTTCTTTCTTTCTTTCTTTCTTTCTTTCTTTCTTTTTTTCCTCTGAGATGGAGTTTTCACTCTTGTTGCCCAGGCTGGAGTGCAGTGACATAATCTTGGCTCACTGCAACCTCCACCTCCTGGGTTCAAGTGATTCTCCTGCCTCAGGCCCCCAAGTAGCTGCGATTACAGGGGCCTGCCACCATGCCCAGCTAATTTTTCTATTTTTAGTAGAGATGGGGTTTCGCTATGTTGGCCAGGCTGGTCTCAAACTTCTGACCTCAGGTGAATTGCCCACCTCAGCCTCCCAAAGTGTTGGGATTACAGGCGTGAGACACCACGCCCGGCCTGGATGCCCTTTGTTTCTTTCTCTTGTCCGATTGCTCTGGCTAGGATTTCCAGTACTCTTGAAGAGGAGTGGCGAGAGTGGGCATCCTTGTCTTGTTCCAGTTCTCAAAGGGAATGCTTTCAACTTCTCCCCATTCAGTATTATGTTGGTTGTGGGTTTGTCATAGATGGCTTTATTACATTAAGGTATGTCCCTTGTATGCCAATTTTCCTGAGAGTTTTAATCATAAAGGGATGCTGGATTTTGTAGAATGCTTTGTCTGCATCTATCGAGATGATCATGTGATTTTTGTTCTTAATTCTGTTTATGTGGTTATCACATGTATTGACTTGCATATGTTAAACCATTTCTGCATCCCTGGTATGAAACCCACTTGATTAGGGTGGATTATCTTTTTGATATGTTGTTGGATTCGACTAGCTAGTACTTTGTTAAGGATTTTAGCATCTATGTTCATCAAGGATATCGGTCTGTAGTTTTCTTTTTTGGTTATGTCCTTTCCTGGTTTTGGTATTGGGTGATGCTGGCCTCATAGAATGAATTAGGGAGGGTTCCTTCTTTCTCTATCTTGTGGAATCCTTTGAATGTCTGGTAGAATTCTGCCATAAATCTGTCTGGTCCTGGACTTTTCTGTTGTCGGTAATTTTTAAATTAACATTTCAATCTCACTGCGTGTTATTCGTCTATTCAGGGTATCTAACTCTTCCTGATTTAAGCTAGGAGGGTTGTATTCTTCCAGGAATTTATCCATCTTTTCTAGGTTTTCTAGTTTATGTGCATAAAGGTGTTCATAGTAGGCTTGAATGTTCTTTTGTATTTCAGTGGTGTCAGTTGTAACATCTCCTGTTTTGTTTCTTAGTGAACTTGTTTGGATTTTCTCTCTTCTTTTCTTGGTTAATCTTGTTAATGGTCTATCAGTTTTATTTATCTTTTCAAAGAACCAGCTTTTTGTTTCATTTATCTTTTGTATTTTTTGTTTGTTTGTTTCAATTTCATTTAGTTCTGCTCTGATCTTGGTTATTTTCTTTCTTCTGCTGGGTGTGGGTTTGGTTTGTTCTTGTCTCTCTAGTTCCTTGAGGTGTGACCTTAGATTATCTGTGCTCTTTCAGACTTTTTGATTTAGGCATTTAGGACTATGAATGTTCCTCTTAGTACCATCTTTGCTGTATCCCAGAGGTTTTGATAGGTTGTGTCGTTAGTCATTCAGTTTGATGAATTTTTAAATTTCCATCTTGATTTTGCTTTTGATCCAATGCTCACTCAGGAGCAGGTTATTTAATTTCCATGTATTTGCATGGTTTTGAAGGTTCCTTTTGGAGTTGATTTCCAGTTTTATTCCACTGTGGTCTGACAGAGTGCTTGATATAATTTCAATTTTCTTAAATGTATTGAGGCTCATTTTATGGCCTATCATATGGTCTATCTTGGAGAAAGTTCCATGCACTGTTGAATAGAATGTGTATTCTGTGATTGTTGGATGAAATGTTCTGTATATATCTGTTAAGTCCATTTGTTCCAAGGTATAGTTTAAATCCATTGTTTATTTGTTGACTTTCTGTCTTGACCTGTCTAGTGCTGTCAGTGGAGTATTGAAGTCCCTCACTGCTATTGTGTTGCTGTCTATCTCATTTCTTAGGTCTATTAGTAATTGTTTTATAAATTTGGGACCTCCAGTGTTAGGTGCATATATGTTTAGGACTGTGATATTTTCCTGTTGAACAAGGCCTTTTACTATTATATACTGTTCCTCTTTGTCTCTTTTAATCACTGTTTCTTTAAAGTTTGTTTTGTCTGACATAAGAATAGCTACCCCTGCTTGCTTTTGGTGTCCATTTGCAGGAAATGTCTTTTTCCACCCCTTTACTTTAAGTTTATGTAAGTCCTTACGTGTTAGGTAAGTCTCCTGAAAGCAGCAGATGGTTGGTGATTTCTTTTTTTTTTTTTTTTTTTTTTTTGAGACAGAGTCACACTCTGTTGCCCAGGCTGGAGTGCAGTGGTGCAATCTCGGCTCACTGCAACCTCCACCTCCTGGGTTCAAGCAGTTCTTGTGTCTCAGCCTCCCAAGAAGCTGGGACTACAGGTGCATGCCACCATGCCTGGCTAATTTTTTTTTTTTTTTGTATTTTTAGTAGAAATAGGGTTACATCATATTGGTCAGACTGGTCTTGAACTCCTAACCTCAGGTGATCCACCCTCCTCGGCCTCCCAAAGTGCTGTGATTACAGGCGTGGGCCACCGCGCCCAGCCGGTTGGTGAGCTCTTATCCATTCTGCGGTTCTGTATCTTTTAAGTGGAGCATTTAGGCCGTTTACATTAAATGTTAGTATTGAAATGTGAGGGACCATTGCTTTCATTGTGCTCTTTGTTGCCTGTGTACTTTGGTTTTTGTTTTTGCTTTTTAACTTGTATTTTTGTTTTATAGGTCCTATGTGATTTATGCTTTAAACAGGTTCTGTTTTGATGTGTTTCCAGAATTTTTTTCAAGATTTAGAGCTCCTTTTAGCAGTTCTTGTAGTGGTGGTTTGGTAATGGCGAATTCTCTCAGCATTTGTTTGTCTGAAAACAACTGTATCTTTCCTTCATATATGATGCTTAGTTTCGCTGGATACAAAATTCTTGGCTGATAATTGTTTTGTTTGAGGAGGCTGAAGATAGGGCCCCAATCCCTACTAGCTTGTAGGGTTTCTGCTGAGAAATCTGCTGTTAATCTGATAGGTTTTCCTTTATAAGTTACCTGGTGCTTCTGTCTCACAGCTCTTAAGATTCTTTCCTTCCTCTTGACTTTGGATAACCTGATGACAATGTGCCTAGGCAAAGATCTTTTTGCGATGAATTTCCCAGGTGTTCTTTGCGCTTCTTGTATTGGGATATCTAGGTCCCTCACAAGGCTGGGGAATTGTTCCTCGATTATTCCCCCAAATATGTTTTCCAGGCTTTTAGAATTCTCTTCTTAGGTACACCGATTATTCTTAGGTTTGATTGTTTAACATAATCCCAGACTTCTTGGAGGCTTTGTTCATATTTTCTTGTTCTTTTTTCTTTGTCTTTGTTAGATTGGATTAATTCAAAGACTTGTCCTTGAGCTCTGAATTTCTTTCTTCTATTTGTTCAATTCTATTGTTGAGAATTTACAGAGCATTTCACATTTCTAAAAGTGTGTCCAAAGTTTGCTAAATTTTTATTGTTTTTTTCTTTTAGCTATCTATTTCCATGAATATGTCTCCCTTCACTTCTTGTATCATTTTTTGGATTTCCTTGCATTGGGTCTCGCCTTTCTCTGGTCCCTCCCTGATTAGCTTGATAACTAACCTCCTGAATTATTTTGCAGGTAAATCAGGGGTTTCTTCTTGGTTTGGATCTATTGCTGGTGAACTAGTGTGATTTTCGGGAGGTGTTAAAGAGACTTGTTTTGTCACATTACCAGAGTTGGTTTTCTGGTTCCGTCTCGTTTGGGTAGGCTCTGTCATAGGGAAGGTCTAGGGCTGAAGACTGTTGTTCCGATTCTTTCATCCCACTGGCTGTTTCTTTAATGTAGTTCTCTATCCCTTTTCCTATGGATGTGGCTTCCTGTGAGCCGAACTGCAGTGATTTTTGTCTCTTTTCTGGGCCTAGCCACCCAGCGAGTCTACCCAGCTCTGGGCTGGCACTGGGGGTTGTCTGCACAGAGTCCTGTGATGTGAACTGTCTATGGGTCTCTCAGCCGTGGATACCAGCACCTGTTCCGGTGGAGGTGGCGGAGGGTGCACTGGAAGTCGTGAGGGTCCTTAGCTTTGGTGGCTTAATGCTCTATGTTTGTGCTGGTTGGCCTCCTGCCAGGAGGTGGCGCTTTCCAGAAAGCATCAGCTGTAGTAGCGTGGAGAGGTACCGGTGTTGGGTGAGTCCCTAGAACTCCCAAGATTATATGCCCTTTGTCTTCCACCCAGGGTAGATAGGGAAGGACCATCTGGTGGGGGTGGGGCTAGGCGTGTCTGAGCTCAGACTCTCCTAGGGCGGGTCTTGCTGTGGCTGCTGTGGGGGATGGAGGTGAGATTCCCAGGTCACTGGAGTTGTGTACCTAGGAGGATTATGGCTGCCTCTGCTGAATCCTGCAGGTTGTCAGGGAAGTGGGGGAAAGCCAGCAGTCACAGGCCTCACCCAGCTCCCACGCAAACTAAAGGGCCCGTCTCACTCCCACTGTGCCCCCACCAACAGCCCAGTCTGTTTTCAGGCTGCAGGTGACAGGCTTGAAAACTTGCCCGAGGCTATCCGCCTCCCAGCTGGGAGAGAAAAGGGCTTCAGTTCTTCCCCTGCTTGTGAAGTCTGCCCGCTGGATTCGCACCCTCCCCAAAGTTCTGGCCAGGAGGTTTCTTGCCCCATTCAAATTGTTACAAAATTCAGCTGGGGAATTCCTTCTCCCTGTGGAGTTTTATCCCCTGCTCCTCTAGCCACCCTTCTGATGGATCCCTGTTATGCCAGGCAGGAATGGGATGCTTGGGGACCCAGCGAGCTCCCAGGGCCTTTCTGCTACTTCCTGTACCCCTGTCTTTCGGTCGGCTCTCTAACTTGACTCAGCTCCAGGTAAAGTCAGAAACTTCCCCCACAAACAGAACTTCAGCTTCTCCACTGGGGGTGTGTGTTCACTTCCTCAGTTGGGGCACTGACAGTATTTGGGGTGTCTCCCCGGCCCTGCAGGAGCGCTCTGCTTCCTTCAGAGGATCTGTGCGTCCTCTTGGGAGTGCTGGTTTGTTCTTGTAGTGGATCTGGAGCTAAAATTCACAGTGTAAGCCCCCACATGCTGCTCTGTCCAGAGCTGCAATCTAGTCCTGCCTCCAGTCCGCCATGATCCCTTCTAATCTGCACTTAAATATTTTAAAGATGTTTAATCCCTGAAGCAGTCCCATGAGATGGATACTAATATTACGTCCATTAAGCAGATGAAGAAATGGAGGCAGGCAGACAGTATCCAAGGTCTCACTGCAGGGGAGACAGGATTTGAACCTGGAAGTCTGGTTCAGAAGGCATCAAAACACACCAGGTGTGTCAAAAGCTTTAGGTCCCAAACTACTGAGCCCAGGGAAGGTGTCTCGTGATGCGGGGCTGACACACAAACCAAGTAAAGACACCAAGACCAAATGTCACTATTTTTGAGATTTAAAAATGTTAATTATATCAAGATAGAAGTTATAGTCTTTTTCCTCCTCACTTTGGCGCCACTGCTAGGAAGAGCGGGGGAGCGGGCGTTGCACCGCGTCCGGGCCACGAGGGGGCGCGCGGACACCACCCACCCCGCCGGGCAAGGCCACCCTCCCAGACGCCTGGCAGCCGGAAGAACCGCACGAACGCCTTCCGCAGAGCTGGTCCTCGGGAGCCCTCCAGCCCACCCAGGTCTTTCCTAGCCCCAAATCCTTCCCAGGGACGTCCTCGGGACAGGCAAACCTGCTGTAACATTCAGCTGATATAGGAGGTGGAACCCTCCTACAGTCACAGAGACAGAAAGTGCCCCGAGGGCGTCGCTCTGGTCCTGGCGGAGATGGTCTCTGATGGTCTGCCTTGATGACTTATGGGGACACCTGTCGGGGGTTCTGCTAGAAAGAAAGATGCAGAGCGCCCCTCACGCACGCAAACTCTAGCTCTCACACCCAGACGTGCTCCAAACATTCCAAAGGGGCCAAAAACGACGTCTGGCTTTTCCGCGGCGCCTCCTGGCCCTGGCGGTGACTCCGAGGTGGCGCTTTCAGGGTGGGCGCGAGGGAGAGGAAAGCCTCTGGCATCCTCACCCCCGGGGCCAGAGGGACAGCGGGTGCCCTCCGCCCCGAGTCACCTGCGTCTTGAATTCTGTCCCTCCAAGGAGAGGGCAATGCCTGAGCCCACGGAAGTTGGGTCAGGGGCAGCATTGGAAGTCAGAGCCTGCAATGCTCACGTAAATGCAAAAGATGGTTCCTTCAGTGCCAGTAAGAAGGCTGTCTTGAACATGAGGAATACAGCAGCAAGCAAGACAGAGAGGTGCCTGCTTTCTGGGGAGACAACAAACAGATAAATAAGCACAACACTGTCCTGCCAAGCTAAGTGACATCAATGAAACAAGGCAAGGTAATAAGAAGAGGCTGGGAAAAGGCTTAGCTGTGATTTTGCTTTCTGCAGTTTGAGTTGCCTATGTTCAACAGAGGTTCAAAAATATTAAATGGAACATTTCAGAAATAAACAATCCTAAGTTTAAATTGCATGCCATTCTGAGCAGCGTGATGATATCTTGCGCCATCTCTCCCAGTCCTGCCCCGGAGATGAATCATCCCTTTGTCCAGCGTGTCCACACGGTACATGCTCCAGGCCCGTTAGTTACTTAGTAGCCATCTCAGTTTTTCGGATGACGTCGAGGTATGGCAGGGTTTGTGTTCAAAGTCACCCTTGTTTTACTTAACAATAGCTTCAAAGCACAAGCATAGTGATGCTGGCAATTTGGATATGCCAAAGAGAAGCTACAAGGTGCTTTAAGGGGAAAAGTGAAAGTTGTGGACTTAATCAGCAACCTTAGCTGAGGTTGCTAAGATCTGTGATAACAAGGAAGCTTTGATTCATGAAATTCTGGAGATGGAAAAAAGAAATATATGCTAGTTTTGCTGTCACACCTCGGACTGCAAAGTAATGGCCATGGTGCATGATAAGAGCTTAGTTAAGATGGAAAAGGCATTAACTCTGTGGATAAAAACATGAAGAGACATGTGTTCTGATTGATGGCAATAAGGATCAGTATTATCCGTGGTCCCAGGCATGCACTGGAGGTGTTGGAATGTATCCCCCATGGATAAGGGGAGACTATCGTATCCTTGATTGGGGCATTGCTACATGGATGTATACGTTTGGCCAAACTCTCCAAACTGAACACTTAAGATAGGTGTGTTTCATTGTACGCACATTTTTCAACAAAAATCTTTTCTATATAAGAAGAAGAATAGCTGGGAAAGGAAGACATTAACTAGGGTGATCAGGATGGTCTCTTTGCAAAGGGGACATTTGAGCTGAGACCTGAAAAGTGAGAATGAACTAGAAGGAGTTAGCCATGCCAGGATCTTGTCTCTTCCTGCCAAGATGCTGCAGGCAGAGGAAACGCTGCATTGGAAGGGCCCCCGGTGAGAATGCAATGAGGGCATGGGGAGACCGTTGTGAGCAAAGGGAGCAGGAGGGCAGGTACGCAAGAGGAGGTTGAGGCTGTAGCCAGGGGCTGCTGATGAGGTACTTGAAGTCTGTCTAGGTCTAAGTTCATTCTAAGTGCAATTGGAAGTCACTGGGGGACCACATGGAGGAAAGATACAGGTCCCCAACCCGATCAGCCTTGGGACCACCTCCAGGCAGAGTCTAAAGAAGGATAGCCAGGCACGGTGGATCACGCCTATAATCCCAGCATTTTGGGAGGCTGAGGCAGGCAGATTGCTTGAGCTCAGGAATTCGAGACCAGCCTGGGCAACATGGTGAAGCCCCATATCTACAAAAAATACAAAAATTAGCTGGGCATAGATATGCCTGTAGTCCCAACTACTCAGGTGGCTGAGGCAGGAGGATAGCCTGAGCCCAGGAGGTTAAGTCTGCAGTGAACCGACATTCTGCCACTCCACTCCAGCCTATATGACAGAGCAAGACCCTGTCTCAAAAAGGAGAAAAAATAAATAAATAAATAAATAAATAAATAAATAAATAAAATATAGCCTAAATTCCAAATACCAAATACCAGAGACCAAAATTATTGGCCTTGTTAAGGGAACATCTCAATGTTTGAAATGTCATTGCATTTTTCTTTGTTTGTAGAGACGGGGTCTCGCTATGTTGCCCAAGCTGG